>NC_000001.11:51068986-51220501 GCF_000001405.40 Homo sapiens
CCGAGTAGCTGAGATTACAGGCGCGTAATGCCTGGCTAATTTTTTGTATTTTTAGTAAAGACAGGGTTTCTCCATGTTGGCCAGGCTGGTTTCAAACTCCTGACCTCAAGTGATCCACCCACCTCGGCCTCCCAAAGTGCTGGGATTACAGGCATGAGCCCCCATGCCTGGTCCCTACTTTCTTTCTCTTTGTTTCTTTTTTTTTTTTTTTAGATGGAGTCTCGCTGTGTCGCTAGGCTAGAGTGCTGTGGCATGATCTCAGCCCACTGCAAACTCTGCCTCCCGGGTTCAAGTGATTCTCCTGCCTCAGCCTCCCAAGTAGCTGGGACTACAGGCACACGCCACCACACCCAGCTAATTTTTGTATTTTTAGTAGAGACGGGGTTTCACCATATTGGCCAGGATGGTCTCGATCTCCCGACCTCATTATCCGCCAGCCTCAGCCTCCCAAAGTGCTGGGATTACAGGTGTAAGCCACCGCACCCAGCCCCTATTATTTTTCTATTCAACACTTACCAACTAATGTGCAAGATATTTTTCTGATTTATATTTATCTTTTTTTGCAAGGAAAAATAAATAAATTATTTATATTTATCTTATTGCCTGCATCACCAATCAGGATGCAAACTCCATGAAGAAGGAACTTTTGTCTGATTACTCCTATGCCTCACACAAAGTAAGAAATCAACAATTATTTGTTGGATCAATGAATGAAAGACTACGATTTAAGAAGTAATAAGAAGTAATCTCCCCTTGATATCCGTTAAAAATGGCTCATGTATTTTCACCAGTTTGCATAATGTTTTTCTGAGCTGCTTACAGTTATAAATGCTAGCCTGGGCTTGCTAATTATAATTTAGAACTCTGTCTGTTCCACTAGATGGTGTCTGCTTTTCCTCTATGACATAAATGGGGCTAAATGAACTAGAGGCAAAGACCAAAAATATATAGAAGAGGGACACAGGTTTGAGCTTTGGAATCAGATAGACCTGGATTTGCATCCCAAATACTCCACTTGAAAGTGTAGGTGACTCTTTGTGCCTCCACTGTTGCAAAATCAATGTGAAATTAAAACCAGCCCAATTTTCCCATAAAACTAAGCTTGAGAAATTTACATTTGTCTTATCTGAGTTTCTTTCTCAGGAAACCACCATCAGGCCTCCCAGATGGTAGCAGGGAGCTGAGGCTTTCCAGATCACCACACCTGAACAATGAGAGGCACCTGCTCCTTGTTGACCAACTCCTCTTCCTTGTCCCTCCTGTTTTCCTTCCCTGTTATATAAGCCCATAATTTTAGCCAGTTAAGGAGAGACAGATTTAATTATTAGGTTGATGTCATCTGCAATAAAGCTTTCCTTCCTGGGCAATATTCCTTTTCTCAGTGATTGGCTTTCTATATGGAGAGCAATAAGACCTAGGCCAAACTCCTGGCATTTGGCAACAAAATAGTGGAAAGAGCACTTTGGCTTAGGAATGTGAGTCTTGGATTCTAATCTAGCTGTGACTTTGGGCAAGTTATTTAATTTATTGCACATTCTCAAATTCCTCACCTGTAGAATAAGGATAATATCTCCATTATGGGATTCTTCTAAAAGTGAACAACAAAGCACCTGACACAGAAGGTAATTGGTAAATGTTAATTTCTGTCACTAATATAGGGTAGTCATGACTTTTCTATCAAAGATAACTTTGTTCATTGGTAAGAAGACACTCACTCTAGAGGTATTTTTTCCCATGACTTTTATCCTCCTAAGGAGTCTAGGGTAATTGTGTTTCAATATGACTAATAACCCTATCACTAGACACTAAAACCAGAAGCATATTCCTATTAGGAAGATTTTACCCAGAAATATACATTCCTAACAGAATGGAAAGTGATAGCGAGTACTGCCAGCTTACAACATTCCTTTTGCATACACTGTCTGTTTTCTATTACAGGTGGAATCCATTTTAATGAATACCATTTTAAACATCTGTTTCTACACAGTGAGGCTATTTTTGTGTTCTAACAGATGGGCTACAGGAACCTTGCTTTGTTGACTTGGCTAAAACAAATTCTAAAAAATGAAAATTCTTTCTTCACAAATACTGTCCCTGCAGAAATAAGTTTTTTAAATAAAAGGTAATTATCCTTTGTAAATGTGATAACTTAGCCTAGGCTAGTTCCAAGAAAACAGATAAAGGGCTGGGTTGGTGGATGGCAAAGTAGACTAGACAGCCAGAGAAAATAAAAGATAAAAATGGAGCAAAGCCCTCAAGTAAGGTCTGTTAGAAAGTACTTAAGCCAGAACTCTACTTATAAACATAACCTCTCCTTCCACGGCCAGCTCACTCATGTTACCTCCTCTACAAAGCCTTTCCAATTCCCTCTACACATATAACTCAGTTCTCTGTCTCCCGTACTTTCAATTGTTTAAATCTGGGTAGTGGCATTTATCAGTGTTTGTCTTGTACCTTTAAAGGTAATCGTTTTCTGCTCTTTCCCTTTCCCCCACCAAGACTGTGAGCTCAGAGCACTAGGACGAAGAATGATTCAACTTCCTATGTCCAATAACTAGCACAGAGCTTAATACTCATGGATGCTTAATAAATGCTCATTGAATTTAACACCTATGAAGAAGTATTCCTGTGCTTGAATTGAGCATTCTTACCTAATTTGGGTGCTCCCTGAGACCAAGAACTATGTTTCATTTCCTTGGGATTTGGCACAAAGACTCTTAGTACCACATGTTGGTTGAAAAAAATTAAATTACTATGCCAAAGTTAATATGCAAAGTCAAACTGACCTTTGTTTCACGACTTGGATGCACATATAAATCTACTACATGCTGCTGAATTAAATGCTAATAGTAAGTGACTCAACTACAGTGTGTCCTGGGGAAACTCAGCCTAAAGCTCTTCACTGTAGCCACTGCCTAGAAGGAAGGGCAAAGGCGAAATTCTCCAAGACGAAGACTTGACACACCACCGGGTTTGGCGAGCTGCGGAAACAGGTTACCTCAAAAAAACCTGAGTCTGGATCTGGGACTGTGGCAATTGACTTGAAGGAGACCGCTGGGAGCACAGTGGAGGGCTTGGTCCCCTTCCGTCAAGTTACATCCAACTAAAGCCTGGCGCCAACTTCAGCTAACCATTCCAAAAGAGGCGACAGCTTCTGACCCCCGAGCCCCAGGCTTCCTGCCTTCAAGTCCCGGCTTTCCAGAGACTCTGGCTTCCAGGCCTGGCCTGGCTTCGGGCGCGAGGCTCTGGCTTCCAGCCAGTAGCAGAGGCACCGCCCAGTTGCGAAAGCTCTGGGCACGCCCGTCACCTCTAGGCTCATGAGTTGGCCTGGTTGGTCTTCCCACTCCTCACTCGTCCTCAGTCCTCACTCTCCATTACTGCCACCTAGCAAGCTTCGAACGTACTAGGGGGAAAAATGGCCCCCGCTCTTTTTGCTCCTATGGGGGTTGGTGGCCTACGTGGAGTCTCCTATTTGCAGGTCTGAGTTAGCAACATGGCACCAATTTTCACTCGTTTTCTCTTGCTCCCATTCCTTGGCATCCACTGGGCTTTGGGGATTTGGAGTCAATGGCATTCCTCTCTCTGATCTAGAGTCACTTGAAGAGTCTGTGCTCTAGTTGACGCCTGCGGCTTGCAATAAAGGATCCCTTGTACTGATTGTAAGGGAAAGGCTCAAATCTTTTTAAAAGGAGAAAGTGTTAAGTCTAAAACTAAGAAAAGTTGCCTTATTCTCACCCTTCCAAAATGGTCTTTGGAATAATGACATAATCCTCATTCCCCACTTCCTTATATCTGAACACTTTCTGGAAAGAAACTTATTTCCCACCACATGCTAATTAAGGTAGAAGTCAGGAGCCTGTCCTTTAGGGATGACCTCATTTTTGCAGGGTAATGGTAATGAAATGTACTAGGGGTAAAAAGTAATATCAAGGCTAACTTATTCCAAAATTAAGATTTGCTGAAACTTAACATATGAAACATAAGCACAGAACATGATAAAAGCAACCAATTCAGCCTGAATATATTTTCTGTTAGTATAATCCATCAAATGTTTTTCAAAATGGGATCCATCTTATTCACTGTCAAAAGTGATGTGTGTTCAAAGTTAGTATTTCACTTTTGAATTTCTATAGTCCCACCCTCTGAGTTTATGCAACATATGAATATAATTGCCAGCCAATGTAACATGCCTAATGAATTGGAAAAAGAATGTTCAAAACAAGTTAAAAGGTAGTATAAATATAATGGAGTGTAGGCTGTGTGGACACATGAATCTAAGCTATTTATTCGCTGTGTATCTCTTTAAGCAATTTATTTGTCTTAAATTGGGCTCCTGCACAACTATGGCCCTAAGACAAGAATTAGGATACAGAGAACTTTATTTGGGAAGCATGGTAAGGAAGTGAGACTGGTAAGAGAGGAAAGCCAATAAAAATTGTGTCAAAAAATAAGGTTTCTACTGAGGGCAACTGGAACTCAATTCTACTGGAGACCCTCTGAAAGACTATATAAAACAGAACTCAGAATTATTCCACTGAGGGGCAAGAAAACTGAGATATACCAATTCCCTTCTCTCAGTGGTTGAGGGTTACTCCTGGGAATGTAATTCTCTGGTACTTCCCTTGGCAGCCTTCCCTTGAGCAGCATGCTCTTGCTGCCAGAAAGATAAGTAGTTGAGATTTGAAGCCATTGGCATGAGATGCATGGGAACTCCCATTGAAGCTGCAGGTGGCCTTAATGGTGGGCAAGAGGATGTGGGCAGGGTATTGATTATGTCCGTATTCATTCACTTTGTTTCTGTGTAAACTGGAGATAATAATTACCCATCTCATAGAATGATGTTAAGTCTCTGGCCCATAAAAATACTAAAAAATTATTTAAATGTGTTAATATAATGTGTATATAATAGGCACTTCTTTTTAAATTTTTTGGCATACATTAATATTTGATTGTGGTGCCACTCTATTTGTGGCACACATTCCTGTTTTCTGCAGTCTACTTCTATTCACACCCGTTAGGATTCTTAACTATTACTTTACCTGGAATATGTTTCTAACCTGATTCCTTAACACCCTGCTTTTTCCCCCTAGAATTATTTATGCATCCTCACTAGACCATGAAGAGAATGAAGACAGTGTAATTTATCCTTCAACAAAAATGTATGAAACACTTCAACAAACCAAGGAATACAAAGATTAAAAAGAAAGTCCCCTGCCAGTCACAGCCAGTCATAGTGTTTCCTGCCTGTAATCCCAGCACTTTGGGATAAGGCAGGCAGATTGTTTGAGATCAGGAGACCAGGCTGGGAAACATGGTGAAACCCTGTCTCAAAAGAAAAAAAAAAAAAGCCCTCACTCTCAGGGTATTCACAATTCAGGCTCAATATAAAGCAAAAATTAAACATAAATACATTATGGTACTCTGACAAAGGTAAGAAGCAAATAGGAGGAGTTAACTGATCCTGTCTATGAGAATCAGAGAAAACTTCAGGAGGAGATGGTACCTAAGAGATGGTACCTAAGCATAGGGTCAATGAATAAGTAGAATTTAGTCCAGAAGAATACAGATCAGACTGTTAACAGTGGTTATCTGTGGAGAGAGAAGTGTGAGTGTGTGTGTGTGTGTGTGTGTGTGTGTGTGTAGTTTCGAGAGGGGAGATCAAGATGAAGGAATACTTACCTTTTAACTGCGTGTATTTTTGTGTTGTGTGAATGTTTTACTAAGAATGTGTAATCATCAGTTGTTTGTGTAGTTTAAAAAAGAACATTAGCTTGAAGGTCTAATATATGCCAGCCCCTGTGGTAAATGCTCTGTATACATTATTGCATTTAACTCTAACAATCATCATTGTACATATACCAAGAGAGGCTAAACATCTTGCTCAGTTGTCACAGCTGGTAAATAATAGAACCATAATTTGAACCCAGGGTTTTTCTGGCTTCAGATCCGATGACTGATAGATACACCATTAGGATTAACAAAACCCAAGGGACTGCTATTAAATTTGTGGACCATGGGGTTTTGTGCTGCGTAGGGAAAGAGGTAGGGCTGGAAGTAAAGCCAAAGAGTGGTTATAAATTGGGGGTGTGGGAAGGGAAAAGTCAAGTGTATGGGAATCTCAATGCACTAAAATTATAGTGGAATTAAGGTAGTAAAAACTGAAATAATGATCAGAGAGAAGCGTATTATCATCAAAGAATGGAATATAAAAGTTGAAATTTCAGAGGCAAAGCAGTTTGGGACTGAGGTGGGGGAGGGTGGAGGACAGCATGGAAAATAGGGGGAGAGTGATCATAGTTAGCATTTATTAAGTTTTTAGAGTACTGGGTACTATACTGAGCACTTTGTGTGCATTGTCTTACTTAATCCTCACAATCCATAGTAAGGTAAATACTATCGTCACTTTCATTTAATAGATGATATGGTTTTGATTACTTTCCCAAATTAAGCTAATAGAATCAAATTTTCATAAGGCAGCTTCATTTCATAGTCAATTTTATTACTGTATTATTCAGCAGATTTTTTCCAATGTTATTTTTTAAATCATTTCTTAGAGTTTTACAAAATAATTATAATCACAAATATTAATGATTTAGTATTAAATAACGTGACTTAAAACACCTGTTTTGTTATATTATGGTTGTATTTTATTATGCTTTTCAGATCAAATAAAAGAGAATCAATGTGAGTGCTAAACTAAACTACTTATTTTGGACAGCTACCATTTTAAAATTCAGAGCAGGCTATACTTCAAAGAATTTAATTTATGGGAGGAAAATGATTTTATGGATATTCAAACTAAGAGTTTGAACACAAAATAAAGGTAAGAACTGGCAAAAAAACCTTTTATTTGGAAACATTTAAAAATCATTTTATAAAGCAAACAGAAGAAAATGTCAGCAAGATAAAAATATCTATAAAAAATCAACAAGAAAAAAACACTTAATTCTACCTTAACAGAAAAAGTGATATTGCTGGGAATTATAAACTTGAAGAAACATAGAGATATCAAATTATGTATTAAAAGAAAATTTTAAATTAACCAAAAAAAAGAGAAAACAGTTGAAAAGAATACCTAATCCAACATACTTTAATAAATATTAACAGTACGATCTGACACATGGTTGGTAAATGCATTGAGAAATGCTCCTGGAAATAAAAAAAGGTTTAGTAAGCATCTTAGTATTAAATTTAACTAACTCTCTTCGGAATGACAAAAACAATCACTTCAAACTAAAAACAAAAAATAGATATTATGTCTCTAGTAGATTGTTAACATTTCTTAACTCAAAGATAATTAGAGTTTCAGAACATGAAAATCATATGACCTGTTTAAACAACTGCCTTCAAAACTATTCTATGTGTTAAATAGGAAAATATAGGGACAAAAGTCCCGCAATGTTTTATTTAAAGCATGTCATGGAGGTTTATGGTCTTTACATGGTTTAATAAATGGTAGAGACACTTGGCAAGTGTTTACAGAAATATCATTTACCAACCAAAATTCACCCAAAAAAGGAAGTCAAAGTCCCTAGTCTTCCTAACTTCTGTTGACAAAAAACAACCAAAATTCAAAAGAGTCAAGTTACAGAAAATATAGATTTGATTGTAATACAACAAGAATATTCAAAGTATTAGTCAATGTCACATTTGAGTTATTAAATCACATTCAAATAATGCAAATGTATCAAAAAGCTATTAGATTTATTTAGAAATTCATGGCAGTCTCTTAACAAGTTGAATATATTATTAAAAACTTAAAAAACTGTCTTATTGTAAATATACGTATATATATATTTTTAAACTGCAGAATAGTAGCATCAGGGAAAAACACAAAAAAGAACCATTACATTTATTTAAAAATTCATGACAGTCTCCTAACAACTTCAAATGTATTTAAAACCAAAAAAATTGTCTTATTGTAAATAAATAAATACATATATATGTGTGTGTATATTTTAACTACAGAATAGTAGCATCAGGGGAAAACACAGGAACATTTTTCACAAATGTAAAGTATAATTTTCTTCTCATGGATTTAAAACTTGAAGGCCAGGAAGTCTTATGCCAGATAAACAAGACAAATAGGAAAACTAATAGTTAATTTTATATATTCCTTAGTGAGATGGATTACTCATCATTAAAATTGAACTTTCATAAGCCTGCTGCTTCAAGTACTTTAAATAAAAGAAAGACGTGCACCATAGATGATCAAACTGTCACAATAACTGTAGGTAAACTTGAGATCACAATGCTTTTCCTCTGTATGAGTACACATTATTAGTATTTTTAAATGTTATTTCTGAGATTTGAAAAAGCAGTCTATAGGCTGTATAGTTGTCCAAGAATTTCATAGATTATACTTTTGACGGTTAACCGGTTCTTCAATTTTCATTATTTAGGCTAATGTCATTGCATTGAAATATATCCTAGGTTACTAGAGAAAAGCTTCTGAAGACATTATTTCCCTATTTCTAACATAAAAGAACTGTCAAAAGGAATATGGACACCTGTGACTTTTAAACATATCTTGAACAAGAAATTAAGGATCCAAGTACTTTTCCCCTCTTCTCAAAACTTCTATCAGTTATATGTGTGACGTATTGTACTTAACAGGGGCTCCTTGAAATAACAGTTTATGTAAGCAGAGTGAAAGGGAATCGCATAGTGAGGTTTTAACAAGTCCTCTTTCTAGCAACAGATTATTTCTTTGTTGAAAACACTTGAAATTAATTGTGGAATATTTATAATTATTTCTCTTTCACAACATTAATGTAGTTCCCACCACAAGGGTACTAACAATTTCCTCTTTAACCATGTAAGTATGATTAAATGGATTATTTTTTCAGGGTAAGTAGGATGAAGTCTAATATGTGTTAGATTAGACTTCATCCTACTTACCCTGCGTGTGTGTGTGTGTGTACTTTTTTTTTTTTTTTTTAGAGACTCTGTAACCTAGGCTGGGGTGCAGTGGTGTGATCATACCTCACTGCAGCATCAAACTCCTGGGCTCAAGCAATTCTGCCTCAGCCTCCCGAGTAGCTAGGACTACCAGGCGCACACTACCATGCTTAGGTAAGTTTTTTTATTATTATTATTTCTGTAGAGAAAGGGTCTCGCTATGTTGCCCAGGCTGGTCTCAAACTCCTGGGCTCAAGTGATTCTCTCACCTCAGCCTCCCAGAGCACTGAGATTACAGGCGTGAGCAACCATGCCTGGCCTGAAATGTTATATATTTATATAATACGATGTTTTTGCTAGTTTTGCATAAATTGTCTCATTTAACTTTCTCACAGAAATCTTTCTTTTCTTTTCTTTTCTTTTTTTGTGAGACCGAGTCTCGCTCTGTCGCCCAGGCTGGAGGGCAGTGGCACAAACTCGGTCACTGCAAGCTCCGCCTCCCGGGTTCACGCCATTCTCCTGCCTCAGCCTCGCGAGTAGCTGCGACTACAGGCGCCCGCCATCATGCTTGGCTATTTTTTTGTGTGTGTTTTTTAGTAGAGACGGGGTTTCACTGTGTTAGTCAGGATGGCCTGGATCTCCTGACCTCATGATCCACCTGGCTCGGCCTCCCAAAGTGCTGGGATTACAGGCGTGAGCCACCGCGCCCGGCCAGAAATCTTTTTCACTTTAATCAAAATTCAGAGAAGTGAATGCCTCATCCAAAATCCCCCAGACCATAGCAGAAATTGAAATCAAGTCTCTTATTACTCCAGATCTCATGTTTATACAGACTGTCCTGTCTCTGTATGATAAGTAAGTGGTAATTCCTCAGTATCTGTACTCTCGTTTATATTTAGAGTCTGCTCTAGATAATCAGTTTAAGAAAAATGAAATATGTTCTATCTTTAGTTTTGAATGATGACTATGTAATCATAGTACTAGGCTCTTTATCTAAGGCTTCAATGCCTTTTGGGAAGAAAAAAGAAGACTCAAAGAAATAAAATATGTTTAACAGTCAGATAAGTTCCAAGAGAGATTTTCTATTTTTTTCCCTGTCAGCTACTCCAAATGTATCTCAGATGCCTTACACTAATCAGAAAAGGGAGTAAACATGTTCCCCTCTCTTCTGATTGAACAAACAAGGAAACTCAAATAAAGTTCAATTAATTCTGTACTCCAGTTTTACGATGGTAAAATTTAAATCATGCAGAACTTCCAGGAGAGATGAAAAGTTGGGCATGCAGGTGTGGCGGTGTGTGCCTGTAGTCTCAGCTTCAAGGCTGCACAGTGAGCTATGATTGTGCTACTGTACTTCAGCCTCAGCAATAGAGTGAGACCGTGTCTCAAACAACGACGACAACAACAACAACAACAACAACAAAAGCAAAGAAACAAAAAAACAGAAAGGAAAAGAAAAGTTGGCCATTGTATCCCCAATCCAGCTCGTTGTGCACAAATCATGTGTCTAGGACCACATCGCTTTTCTTGGGCATTTCCTCTACTGTTGAAAAATATCCTACAGAGAACTTTCTCTTCCTTAGAATACCTTCTTCTCTCTTTTCCCTGTGCCTGGCACATTTGAACTCTTTTGTCACTTCTTCCATACTCCAAAACACCCGCAATCTGCCCTCTTCCCCTCTATTTCAGGTTGTAGCCTTTCCTCTAACAGGTATGCCTAGAAAATCATGCCTTAGTCATGCGGTGGCACTTCATCATTATCATTTCTTTTGCCTATTTTCTCTGCTGGATGGAGAGGAGTAACTCCAAGCTTTTTCTTCCCATTTTCTCTTTTGTTTGTTTTTGGTTACTCTGGATATAAAAAAAAAATCAGACATCTAGACATCTCTCACTGTGAAAATTCATCTTGTATCAATAGCTCTCATCTGACATGTGCACTACATTCATATTCTTACTAGGCTAAGTTTTAGATCTTTTAATGCTAAAAAAGCATCTGTTTCTACTGACCCTTTGTTAAATTAGCCTTAGCACATGCATGCTCAGTTGCCTCCTCCTGACTTGTCTTGTCTTGTCTCGTCCGGTCCCATCCCTTCCCTTTGCCTCCCCTCCCTTCCCCTTTCCTTTCCTTTTCTCTCTCTCCCTTCCTTCCTTCCTTCCTTTTCTCTCTCTCTCTGTCTCTCTCTTTCTCTCTTTCTTTCTTTTGAGACAAGTTCTCACTCTGTCACCCAGGCTAGAGTGCATAGCTCACTGTATCCTCAAACTCCTGGGCTCAAGCAATCTTCCCACTTCAGTCTCCCAAGTAGCTAGGACTGCAGGTGTACGCCACCACACCTGACTTTTATTTTTGTAGAGATGGGGTCTTGCTATGTTTCTCCTGATTCTTGAGGGATTTTTGTTTTTCCTTCAATGCAGCAAATAGGGAATGTAGTCAGGGCACTCTGAGAAATATGAAAACATAGCTCCGAAAAGAGTTTACTATCTAGTGGAAAAGACAACCTCTTAGCTGTAAGAGGTCCTGCATTTCCTTAAAAAGGAGCTTAAGGAATGTGCATTCTCATTGGAAGTGAGAGTTAGGAGATTTGTCTTGAAATTGACAATAGCAAGCACACAATCTTTAAACTGTGTTTGGGATGGCTTGAGTAGAGACGTATTGAAATTAAGGGAGAACTAAAGTGACCAAACTGCCTCTTGGGCTGTCAGTCTCTTTCAGGTTCCGTTTCTGACTTCATGTGATTTTGTAAGGCAGATATATTCGTGAAATAGGCTGATGGTGCTATAGATAAACTGCAAACAGAGGTAAGAAAGGTGAAGGAGAGGCCAGGCGTGGTGGCTCACGCCTGTAATCCCAGCACTTTGGGGGCCTGAGGTGGGTGGATCACAAGGTCAGGGGTCAAGACCAACCTGGTCAAGATAGTGAGATCCTGTCTTACTCAAAATACAAAAAATTAGCTGGGTGTGGTGGTGGGCGCCTGTAATCCCAGCTACTCAGGAGGTTGAGGCAGAGAATTGCTTGAATCTCCGCCAGGAGGCGGAGGCTGCAGTGAGCCGAGATGGCACCACTGCACTCCAGGCTGGGCGACAGAGCGAGACTCCATCTCAAAAAAAAAAAAAAAAAGGGGGGGGGGGAAGGAGAATTAATTCCATCTGGTGAAATCTGAGATGGCTTCAGAGACAAGGTGGCATTTATACTAAACTTTTAAAAAGTAGGTAAGCTTCCAACAAGTAAAAAAGTTGAGTGAAAAGCATTCCAGAAGTATGGAACTAGGTAAACGATGACTAAAGAAGGAAAACCTGGTGCATATTTAGGAAGTGATGAGTATTCTGGTGTGAAAAGAAAAAAAATATGTATATGTATGGCAAGCAAATGCATTGGGAGATAGAGTTCGAAAGACAAGTTGAGGCAAAATCTAATTTAGTAACTAGAGTAGCAATGCTGCTAAGTATTGGAGCAAGGACTTGAATTCAAATCCTATCTCCAGATCCTACATTCATTCCTTGAACCATGTGGCCGGCTAGCAATAAAGAATTAGTAATGCCTTTGCACTCTGTTTGTATGCTTTCTTTATTCATAAAAAGATCTAGAATCCTATGATAGAAATTTGAACTTTAGGGAACTATTGAAACTATTTGAGCAGGAGTTTTTATTTTTTTATTGCTAGCATAACATACCTCAGTCACTTCACAGATCTCTTAATGATATAAATTTAACAAGTTTGCTTTTTTCCCCTCCATGTGTAAAAATGCTTCCTATCTTGCATATCTGTAATTTTCTCCTCTTTAAGCAGTTATAAACTGATGTCTACCTCAGCTCTTCATTACCTAAAGCTTAAAAAAGTGACCTAAGTTGGTGGGCAATTTAAGGGTAATATACTCTGAAGTAAATCTAAATTATTTTTCCTCTTTTTTTCTTTTCTTTTTTTTTACACCACTGCCCCCATTCTACCATTCTACACTACAGAAGAGAAAAAGAGAAAAAATAATTTCTCCACCACCACTTCGCCCTCCACCACCATTCTACTCTCTACTTCAATTACTTCAACTTTTTTCTTTTTTTTGAGACAGAGTCTCACCCTGTCTTCCAGGCTGGAGTGCAGTGGTGCAATGTTGGCTCACTGCAACCTCTGCCTCCAGCGTTCAAGTTATTCTCCTACCTCAGCCTCCAAGTAGCTGGGATTACAGGCAGGCACCACCATGCCCAGCTAATTTTGTATTTTTAGTAGAGACCAGGTTTCACCATGTTGGCCAGGCTGGTCTTGAACTCCTGACCTCAAGTGATCTGCCTGCCTCAGTCTCCCAAAGTGCTGGGATTACAAGCATGAGCCACCGCACCGGCTCAACTTTTTAAGATTCTATATAAGTAAGATCATGTGGTATTTGTCTTTCTATGCCTGGCTTATTTCACTTAACATAGTATCTACCAGGTTCATTTATGTTGTCACAAATAACAGGATTTCCTTCTTTTTAAAGGCTGAATAGTATTTCATTGTGTATTATACCACATTTTCTTTATCCATTCATCTGTTTATAGACAGTTAGGTTGTTCCCATATTGTGACAATTGTGAATAATGCTGGAATGAACATGGAAGTGTAAACATCTCTTTGATATACTGATTTCATTTCCTTAGGATATATGTCAGTTTTCTATATGCACAGGTTCCACATCCATGAATCCAATCAACTGTGGATTTGTGAAGAACGTCGTTGGTATTTTGATAGGGATTGCATTAAATCTAAAGATTGCTTTGGATATTATGGTCATTTTAATAATATTAATTCTTTTTTTTTTTTTTACGGAGTTTCACTCTTGTTGCCCAGGCTAGAGTGCAGTGGCACAATCTCAGCTCCCTGCAACCTCCACCTCCCATGTTCAAGCGATTCTCCTGCCTCAGCCTCCAAGTAGCTGGGATTACAGGCATGCGCCACCATGCCTGGCTAATTTTGTATTTTTAGTAGAGATGGGATTTCACCATGTTGGTCAGGCTGATCTCGAACTCCTGACCTCAGTTGATCCACCTGCCTCTGCCTCCCAAAGTGCTGGGATTACAGGTGTGAGCCACCGTGCCCAGCCAACAATATTAATTCTTTAGATCCATGGGCATGGGATGTGTCCATTTGTTTGCCTTCTTCAATTTCTTTCATCAGTGTTTTATAGTACTCATTGTAGAGATCTTTTACCTCCTTGGTTAAATTTATTCCTAGGTATTTTATTTTTTGTAGCTATTAGAAATGGGATTGCTTTCTGTATTTCTTTTTCAACTAGCTTGTTATTGGTCTATAGAAACATTACTGATTTTTGTATGTTGATTTTGTATCCTGCAACTTTACTGAATTTGTTTGTCACTTCTAAGAGTTTTTGGTTCAGTTTTTAGGATTTTCTATATATAAGATCATGTCATCTGCAAAGAGGGACAGTTTGAGTTTCTCTTTCCAATTTGGATGCTCTTTATTTCTTTCTCTTGCCTGATTGTTGTGGCTAGGACTTCCAGTACTACGCCGAATAAGAGTGATGAAAGTGAGCATCCTTGTCTTATTTCATTTCTTATAGGAAAGGCTTTCAGCTTTTTCCCCATTCAATATGATGTTAGCTGTGGGTTTTGTAATATATGGACTTTATTGTATTGAGATATGTTCCTTCTATGCCTAATTTGTTGAAGAGTTTGTATCATGAAGGGATGTTGAATGTTATCAAATGCTTCTTCTGCCTTTATTGAGATGGTCATATGGTTTTTGTCCTTCATTCTGTTGTTGTGGTATATCATGTTTATTGATTTGGATATACTGAGCCATCCCCAGGATAAGACCCACTTGATCATGGTGTCATGATCATATCTTTTTGATATGTTGTTGGATTCAGTTTGCTAGCGTCTTATTGAGAACATTTGTGTCTATGTTCATGAATGATATTGCCCTGTAATTTTGTTATTGCTGTTGTGTCCTTGTCTGGTTTTGTATCAGGGTAGTGCTGGTCTCGTAGAATGAATTTAGAATAGTCCCCTTCTCTTCAAATTTTTTGAATAGTTTGAGAAGAATTTGTTAGTTTTTCTCCAAAAGTCTGGTGGAATTCAGTGGTAAACTCATTTGATCCTGGACTTTTCTTTGTTGGGAGACTTTTTATTACTGATTCAATCTCATTACTTGTTATTGGTCTGTTCAGTTTTTTCATTCCTTCTTGGTAAAATTTTGGTAGGTTATATGTGTCCAGGAATTTATCAATTTCTTCTAGTTTTTGTATTGTTTTGGTGTATAGTTGTTGATAATAGTCTCTACTAATCATTTGTATATTTGTGGTATCTATTGTGATGCCTCCTTTTTCATTTCTGACTTTATTTGAGTCTTCTCTCTTTGTTTCTGAAAAAAGGGGGAGTGTTATGGCTCTAGGAAGTTAGTTAAAAATTAAAAAAAAAATTTTAACGGGAGTTAGTTTAGCTAGTGTTTAGCTAATAGTTTGTTAATTTTGTTTATCTTTTTCAAATACCAACATTTTGTTTCATTGATCTTTCGCAATTCTTTTAGTTTCTATTTTGTTTATTTCTTCTCTGATTTTTATTATTTTTTTCCTTCTACTAATTTTGGGTTTGGTTTGTTCTTGCTTTTCTAGTTCCTTAAGGTGCATCATTAGATTGCTTCTTCGGTCTTTTTACTTGTCATTAGTCTGTTCAAGCTACCTATTCTTTCTGATTGAGTCTTATTAGGTTATAATTTCTTTCAGGTTATCCAACTTGTTGGCATATAATGTTCATAATAGTCCCTTATGACACTTTTTTTGTCCTAAGGTGTCTGTTATAATGTCTCCACTTTCATTTCTGATTTTATTGAGTCTTCTCTCTTTTTTTCATACTTAGTACTTAGCTAGGGGTGTGTTGATTTTGGTTATTTTTTCAAAGAACAAACTCCGGATTTTGTTGATTTTTTTTCCTATGGTTTTACTGTTCTCTATTTAATGTATTTCTGTCCTGATCTTCCTTCTGCTAACGTTAGGTTTAGTTTGTTCTTTTTCTAGCTCTTCGAGGTTTAATGTTAGGCTATTTATTTGAGATCTTCCTCCTTTTTAAACACAGACATTTATTGCTATTACTCCCCTCTTGGAACTGTTTTTTTACTGTTGTCTTCTAGTTGTTTTGTAGGTCATTTTTTCATTGCTTTCTCTCTGTAGTCCACCTTTGTGATTTGGTAATTTTTTCTAGTAGCTAAGCTTTAATTCCTTTATCTTTCTCTTTGTGTATCTGCTATAGTCTTTTGCTTTGTTGTTACCATGGGGCTTACATAAAACTTCTTATAGTTACAATAGACTATTTTAAGATGGTAACATCTTAAATTTGGTCACATATAAATACTGTGGACTTTTACTCTTCCCTCCTAATTTACATTTTTGTTGTTTTTCTGATCTTGAATTATCCATTTGTATTCTCATATATCTTGCTGAGCTTCCTTAAGATCATTATTTTGAATTCCTTTTCAGGAAATTTATAAATTTACATTTCTTTAGGGTCAATTATTCGAGGATTATTTTGTTCCTTTGGTGATGTCATGTTTTCTTTTTCATGTTTCTCTGTCTGTGCATTGGTGTCTGCACATCTGGTGGAATTGTCAGTGCTTCCAAACCTTACAGAATGACTTTCATAAGAAAAGGCTTTCCCCTGCAGATGGGTCTTAGGGTGCCAGCTGGGAAGGGTATGGTGGCTTTGGTTACAAGTAGATGTAATAGTATAGCTGCCATGCAGAATCTTCAGCTGCAATTAACGTCAGTGATGACATGGGTGCCTTAGTGACCTAGGCTGCAGAAGTTTGTTGCAGTGGCATCAGCAGCATATGCCATTAGTGTCCTCCATGGCAAGGGCTTTTAGGGTCCTCCTGTGTTTGTTTTCCCCAAAATGGGGAGTCTTTACTGAGGGGATCCTTCTTGGTATCAAGTCTGACATGAACCACAAGCAACTGCAGTGGCACTGGGTTTCAGGGAGGAGATGCTCAGAGCAGCTGTGGAGCCAGGGTCCTGTGCTCAGGACCTCACCACTCTACTGTGGCACCTGGGAATTTGGACACATGTTCACTCTCTGAGGCATAGGTAGGTGCTGACTGCCATAAAGCTAAGGTCTGTGACTCTGGTGCATACCTCAGCTGCTCAGGCCTAGGGGGCTGGGTTGTTGCTGTGACTCTGCCCCTGCTCCTCAGGGGCAGCACTGGCCCAGCTCTGGTAAAGAAGGGGTGCTCTGGGCTGGGGATAGTGGCTCACGCCTGTAATCCCAGCACTTTGGGAGGCCGAGGCAGGTGGATCACCTAAGGTCAGGAGTTCAAGACCAGCCTGGCAAACATAGTGAAATCCCGTCTTTACTAAAAATACAAAAATTAGCCAGGCATGGTGGCGGGCGCCTGTAATCCCAGCTACTCAGGAGGCTGAGGCAGGATAATTGCCTGAACCCGGGAGAAGGAGGTTGCAGGGAGCTGAGATTGTGCCATTGCACTCCAGCCTGGACGATAAGAGCAAAACTCCGTCTCAAGAAAAAAAAAAAAAAAGCAGGGGTGTGCTGGAGGTTCAGGCTTTGGGAAGCAGGGCACAGCTGCAATTTGGGAACCAGAGGCTTATAGAGCACAGCAGCCACTCAGGCCCTGGACGGGGATGAGAACCTGTGTAGTGAGGACCCTGGACTATGGGATGGTAGGACACAGCAGCATTGCAGGCTCTGTGAAGTCAAGTGCAGTGGCACTAATGTCCCAGGAATGGCAGGGCATAGCTGTGGCTTGGGCCCTGGGGTACAGGGAGCAGCACAGTGATGACTCCACTCCCTGGTAAGGCAGGGTGCATCCTCTGCTAGGGGATAGTCTGGTTTCATGGAAGCAGGGTTCTGCAGTTGTTCAGCCTGGAGAGTAGGTTGTTTCAGTTCACCCAATCCTGTGTTTTCCTGGGATGTGCAGCACCACATTGGCTCAGCCCTGGGAACTGCAGCTGCTTGGCTCAGCTAAGGGACCCATAATCTTGTGAAGTGGAGTGACTCTTCAGCTCCAACACCGGGGGGGTGACTGCTCTGGGTGGCCCACAGCACCAGTTCCCTAGAAGGCACTACCTCAGGTCCAGTACAGGGGGACATGACTGCTCTGGGTAGCCAAGCCACCAGTTTCCCAGTAGGCACTGCTTCACCTCCAGTGCTAGGGGCATTACTGATCTGGGTGGCCAAGGCACCATATCCCTGGAAGGTAGGATACTGCTGCTGCAGCTCCTGCACTAGGGGGCAGGACACAGCAATCACTGGGAGGGGTAGGGCAGAGCAGCTTGAATCCATGGAATAGCGTGTAGCAGCAGCTTGATTTAGGGATGGTGAACCACCAGACAGTGGTGGTACAGGTGTAACAAACCCTCAGGAATGGAGAGGTGCAATAGCCCCTCACCTCCCGAGCAGGACTTCCTCCAGCCATGGTTCTGGATCTAACATGGCACAGCAGAGTAGCAGCCCATGAAGGGCAGAGCACAGCATTGACTCCTCTGGAAGAAGTGCAGCCATATGGACACCAGGCAGTTCCCTCTGCTGGGCTTAGCACCTTTGAGAAATACAGGATTTCCCAGTGGTGAGGACTGTAGTAATCTCAGTGGTGATGAGGGCTGCTGGGTTCCTCTTGCTTACCTTTCCCTTCACTGAAAAGTTTATCCCGGTTCTGAGCTGGTCCTGACTGGAGTATGGACGAGGTAGGATGTGAGCTGCTTCCTTCTTTTCTTTATGTAACTATCCTGGGTTTCTATGCTCTACAGAGTTTATACTACTACTTTTTTTTTCTTTTTGAGACGGAGTCTCATTCACTCTGTCACCCAGGCTGGAGTGCTGTGGTCTGATCTCGCCTCACTGCAACCTCCGTCTCCCAGGTTTGAGCGATTCTTGTGCCTCAGCCACCCGAATAGCTGGGTTTACGGGTGTGCACCACCATGCCCAGCTGCTTTTTGTATTTTTAGTAGAGATAGGATTTCACCATGTTGGCCAGTCTGGTCGCGAACTCCTGACCTCAAGTGATCCGCTGCCTTGGCTTCCCAAAGCGCTGGGATTACAGGCGTGAGCCACTGCACCGGCCTATACTACTCCTTTGATATATTTCTGTTTTCTCCTTCAGTTATTTTCATCAAAATATAGTTGTTTATTCATTTCTTTGGCTGTCTTTGTGTGGGAGACAAGCACAGGAGCTTCTAGTCAACAACCTAGCTGATGTCCTCCTCTTAAAATTTTAATTGAACCTATGCATGGTGGCTTATGCCTGTAATCCCACTGACTTGGGAGGCTGAGGTTGGAAGATCACTTGAGGACAAGAGTTCTAGGCCAGTCCGGACAAATAGTGTGATCCCACCTCTAAAAAATAAGAAACAAAAAAAATTAAAAATTAACTGAGCATGAAGATATGCATCTGTAGTCCCAGCTACTTAGGGAGGCTGAGGAAGGAGGATCACTTGAGCCCAGGGGTTCAAAGCTGCAGTGAGTTACGCTTATGCCACTGCACTGTAGCCTGGGCAACAGAGTCAGACCCCAGCTCTGAAAACTTTTTTAAGTTGAAGAGTTTTCATAATAGCATATTACCACTTATTAGTGGTAGTATTAATATTATTTGTACTTATATAATTGCATTTCTCTTATATATATTTAAATCTTACAATAAGCACTAAATGATGCTTTGGGATGTTAATACCTTAATGAAAATAATGAAGCACTATATATTTTATTACTATACCAAAAGCTATAAAAGCTATTCCTCAAAAGCTATAAAAGCCTTTCTTAAAAACTATAAAGTATAATGCCCAGCAGAGGATGCTGCAACTGCATGAAGAAAAGCAGACAATGTCCTTAGTGACATCACATCTTCCTAATTCAAGTCAGGGAAACTAATACATACTTATCCTAGACAGTGATGCACGTTTGTCTTCTGGCTTATGACCTACTGAACTTTTGGAAGAAGAGTTACAGTGAAAAGAACCTAGGAAAATTCAGAGGAAACTTGAGGGACAAAATTGGATGACTACCTTGGTGTGAAGGTCAGCAGACTTCTCTCATTCTCTAGTGGCATCAAAATGTACTTATATAATTCAACATCTGTTTTGGCATCTTTAAATAGTACTCCCTAACACCATTTTAAAAATGCCCTTAGTGATTGAATTGGTATATTAGCTGTTCTTGCATTGCCATAAAGAAATATCTGAGACTGGGCAATTTTTAAAGAAAAGAGGTTTAACTGGCTCATAGTTCTGCAGGCTATACAAGCATGGTGCTGGCATCTGCTCAGCTTCTAGGGAGAGAGCTTTTACTCATGGCGGAAGGTGAAGGGGGAATAGGCATATCACATGGTGAAAGCAAGAGCAAGAGAGAGTCGGGGGGCACACATTACAACAAAACAAGAACTCAATATCATGAAGACAGCACCAAGCCATAAGCGATCTGCCCCCATCATCTAAACACCTCCCACAGGCCCCATCTCCAACCTTGCGGATTACAATTCAGCATGAGATTTGGTGGGGACATATACTCAAATCATATCAATTGGTGACACATGTATATAGTGTGTCTTTCATATTGACAATTCAGATATTTCTATTGATGATAAGATAAAAATATATATTATCTTGCGGCATCCTTTGCAACTTCCACTTAGTTATTAGATGATTTCTTCAAGACCTGACATTTTAAAAAGTAAGGAATTCAACAGGTAAATTACTAAGAATCTCTAAGCAAACATACCCAATAAAAATCAAAACAAGTGAGATACAGATTACTGGAATAAATAGTCTTTCAGTGCAAAGACAGACATACATCCATAAGAGAAATCTGCAAACAGAGATCTCCCCAAATGAACAAAGCAAAGAACCAGTGACTGATCCTAACAAGATGACAAAATATGAGGTCTCTGACCAATTATTCAAAGCAGCGGTTTTAAGGAAACTCAGTGATCTCCAAGATGACACTGAAAAACAATTCAGAAATGTATAAAAGAAATTTAACAAAGATATTGAAATAATTTTCTAAAAATCAAGCAAATCTTGGAATTAAGAAATACATTGGCAGAAGTGAAAAATTCATTAGAGCCTCTCAGCAGCAGAATGGATCAAGCAGAGGGAAGAATCAAAAAGCAGGAGGAGGCCAGGCACGGTTGCTCATGCCTGTAATCCCAGCACTTTGGGAGGCCAAGGCAGACGGATCACTTGAGGTCATGAGTTCAAGACCAGCCTGACCAACATGGTGAAACTATGTCTGTACTAAAAATACAAAAATTTGCCGGATATGGTGGCATACACCTGTAATCCTAGCTACTTGGGAGGCTGAGGCAGGAGAATTACTTGAACCTAGGAGGCGAAGGTTGCAGTGAGCCATGATCATGCCATTGTATTCCAGCCTGGGTGACAGAGCAAGACTCTGTCTCAAAAAAAAAAAAAAAAAAAAATCGGGAAGACATGGCCGGGTGTTGTGGCTCATGCCTGTAATCCCAGCACTTTGGGAGGCTGAGGCAGGTGGATCACCTGAGGCCGGGAATTCGAGACCAGCCTGGCCAACATGGTGAAATTCCATCTCTACTGAAAATATAAAACTAGCCAGGCATGGTGGTTGGTGCCTGTAGGTGTCTGTAATCCCAGCTACTCAGGAGGCTGAGGCAGGAGAATCTCTTGAATTCAGGAGATGGAGGTTGCAGTGAGCCAAGATCGTGCCATTGCACTTCAGCCTGGGCAAGAAGAGTGAAACTCTGTCGCAAAAAAAAAAAAAAAAAGGCAAGAAGACAGGGTATTTGAAATTATACAATCAGAGGAGGAAAAAGAATGAAAAGGAGTGAGGATTGCCTAGAAGATGTATAGAAAGTTACCTCAAAAGACAAAATCTAAGAGTTATTGGTGTTCAAGAGGGAGTTGAGCAAGAGCAAGGAGTAGAAAGCTTACTCAAAGAAATAATAACAGAAAATTTTCCAAAACTTGAGAAAGATATAAAAGATATACAGGAAGTTCAGAGAACACCAGAGAGACTTGACCCAATTAAGACTAACCCAAGGCATATAATAATCAAACTTTCAAAGTTCAAGGACAAAGAGAGGATCCTAAAAGTAGCAAGAGAAAAGAAGCAAATAACATAAAAGAACTCTAAGCTGTCTGGCAGGAGACTTCTTAGTGGAAACTATGCAGGACAGTAGGGAGTGGGACTACATTTTCAAGATGCCAAAAGAATGTATTATGCATTTCCCCAAACCACTTAAATATGTATTCCTAATACATTATAGTTTTAAATATATCATACAAAGATTAATTGAAAAGAAGGATTAATTGGCACATTTGATATTATCTTAGGTGACATTATCACAAAACCAACTGTTTTGGTATATAATAAATATATGAACACAATAAATGTGTATTCTATGTGCTGTACAAATATTAACCACTATGGTTCATGAAATTATTGACCGTTGATAAAATTCCTCACTTATAATATTATTTTGTATTTTTTCTAATTACAAGCTGCATTTTTGATGTTACTAAATTTTGGCACAAAAGGAGATGTAGGCTCAGTCTACTGTTTTGATAAAACTCAAAATCAAATGGCATAATTTCTTAATTTACTTTAGATTCAATATCTCATTTGTCTCATACAGTAAGTCTGAGGGGTAGGGAGCTACAGCAGTTACAGTCATTTTCTCTCTCCTATATCAGAGGATCTTTAGATATAGGGTATTTGTGGATTGACTCATTTCCCCACATTATTTTTGTATATCAACTACCATGACAATGAGAGAAACTTGGAACACTACAAATTATAAGCAAACTTATATAAAGATAAAAATGATTGAAAAAAACTCAAGAAGGAATAGAAGACATCAATAAATCTATAAAAAGTAAAGATATTAAATTGATTTTTAAAACTTTTACAAAGAATATCCCAGATCCAAGTGGTATCACAAATGTACCCTGCCAATTTTTAATGAAGAATTAAAAACAGTAATTCACAAATACTTTTACAAAAGACAGAAGAGGAGGGAATGCTTTCTCATTAATTCTACTAGACCAGGATTACTATAATCTAACAACCACACAAAAGCAGTACAAGAAAAGAAAACTACAGAACATATCTCTCTTAAATGTCCACAAAGAAATATTCAAGATAATACTAGCAAACTGAATACAAACATATAAAAAGGATTACACACTATTACTAAGTGTGATAGTATGAACAAATACATAGTTTGTCTAACATGTAATAAACTGTTAGCTTTTCTGTCCATGTCCATCACTCCTGGAGTTTCTTCGTGTGTGTGTGTGTGTGTGTGTGTGTGTGTGTGTTACTTGTAAAAACACTTAACATGGATATGTTTGTTATCCTGATTATGATGGGAGTATCACAAGTATATGCATAAATCCAGACTCAAATAGTATACGCTAAACACGTGTGTGGGGTATACTAATTTTCCTTCAATAAAGTTGTTAAAAACAATGTAATACCCCATATTAATAAAACAAAAGGACAATTTTTAAAAGATGCTGAAATAAAGCTGGGCATGAGGGCTC
The DNA here is from genome assembly GCF_000001405.40 of Homo sapiens. Classification (NCBI taxonomy): domain Eukaryota; kingdom Metazoa; phylum Chordata; class Mammalia; order Primates; family Hominidae; genus Homo; species Homo sapiens. The sequence continues at coordinate 51,092,392 of NC_000001.11, forward strand.
ACACTCGTAATTCCAGTGCCTTGGGAGTATGAGGTAAGAGGATTGCTTGAGACCAGGAGTTCAAAGAGCTGAAAGAAAAGAACTGCCTCCAAGAATACTGTATTCAGCAAGGAAAGATAGTCTTTCCAAGACAAACAAAAACTAAGAGAATTTACCACCACCAGTCCTGTCTTACAAGAAATCATAGAGTTTTTCAATCTGGAAGAATGAAACACTAACGTGCAAAAAGAAAACATTTGGAAGTATAAAACCCACCAGTAAAATTAATTATAAGGACAACCACAGAATATTTCAATAGCTTAATTATGGTGTGCAATCCATGCATACCTCTAGTATGAAGCCTAAAAGACAAATATATCAAAAATAACAATAGCTGTAGCAACCTGTTAATAGACAGACCATATAAAAATATGTAAATTGAGGCAACAAAATGTGTGTGGGGGCGGAGTTAAGATAGAGAGTTTTTTTAGTTTATCCTTTGTTTCTATTTTTTTGTGATCTAAGTTGTCATCTCTTTAAAATAACTAGTTATATTTATAAGATTTTTTGTAACCCTCATGATAACCATTATGCAAAAAGCCTATAATAGATACAATAAAAATAAGATGCCATGAGTTAAAACATACTACTAGTAAAAACCACTTAAGCACAAAGGAAGATGGGAAGAAAGGAAGAGAAGAGTTACAAAACAACCAGGAAACCATCAACAAAATGGCAGGAGTAAGTCCTTACTCATCAATAATAACACTGAATGTAAATGACTCTATTCTTTAATTGAAAGTCACAAAGTACCTGAATGTATAAAGAAACAAGACCCAGTTGTGTACTGCCTGCAAGAAACCCACCTCACCTATAAAAACACACATAGACTGAAAGTGAAGAGGTGAACAATGTTATTCCATGTAAGTGGAAAGCAAAACAGAGCAGGAGTAGCTAAACTTATATCAGATAAAAGGGACTGCACATCAAGACTATAAAAAGAGATTAAGACGGTCACTGTATAATGATAAAGGGGTCAATTCAGCAAGAGGATATAACAATTATAAATATTTATGCACCACCACTGGAGCACCCACGTATATAAAGCAAACTTTAATAGACTGAAAGGAAGAGATAGATTGTAATACAGTAATAGTAGGTGATTTCAACAGCCCACTCTAGTAATGGACAGATCATCACCCCACAGAAAATCAACAAAGAAACATTGAGGTTAAACTGTACACTAGACAAAATAGAACTAACATTTACAGTCCATTTCACCCAAGTACTGCAGAATACACTTTTTTTTCCATCAGCACATGGAACATTCTACAGAACAGACCATATATTAGGTCATAAAACAAGCCTCAACAAATTGCAAAAAGTAGAAATAATGCCAAGTATCTTTTTTGACCACAATGGAATGAAACTAGAAGTCAGTAACAAGAGGAACCCGAGAAATTACACAACACATGGAAATTAAACAACATGCTACCAAATGATAAATGGGCCACTGAGGAAATTAAGAAGGAAATTAAAACACTTTGAGGGTGGAGGCAGAGCAAGATGGACAAATAGAAGACTTAATTGATTGTCCTCCCAGCAACTATCCACAACAATTGAACAATGGTTCAATCCACAATTGAATGACTATCCACACAAAAAAGCACCTTTATAAGAACCAATAATCAGATGAACAATCGTAGTACTTGGTTTTAAGTTCATATCACTGAAAGAGGCACTGAAGAGGGTAGGAAAGCATTTTGAATTGCCAGTGCCACCCCTTCCTCATCCCCTACAGCAGCTATATGGTGCAGAGAGAGAATCTGTGTGCTTGGAAGAGGAAAAGTGTAGTGATTTTGGGACTTTGCACTGGAACTCAGTGCTCCCTGTCACAGCAGAAAGCAATACCAGGCAGAACTCAGACAGAGCCCGTGGAGGGAGCATTTAGACCAGCCATAGCCAGAGCAGAATTGCCCACCCTAATAGAACCATTGTCAGAACTTAAGTTCCAGCAAGCCTTGCCACCGTGGGCTAAAATGTTCCAGAGCCCTAACTAAACTTGAAAGGCAGTCTAGGCCACAAGGACTGCAATTTCTTGGCAAGTCCTGCTGCTGTGCTGAGCTTGGAACCAGTGGACTTGGGGGCAAGTAACCTAGTGAGACACCAACCAAGGCAGCCAAGGGAATGTTTGCACACCCCTCTTCCATCCCCGGGCAGCACAGCTCGCAGCTACAAAAAAGACTCCTTCCCTCTGCTTGAGAAGAGGAGAGGGAAAAGTAAAATAGAGTTTGTCTTGCAACTTGGATACCAGATCAGCCACGTAGGATATTGCACCAGGCAGAGTCTTGAGGCTCCCATTCCAGGCCCTAGCTCCTGGATGATGTTTCTAGACACACCCTGAGCTAGAAGGGAACCCACTTCCTGGAAGGGAAGGACCCAGTCCTGGCAGAATTCATCACCTGCTGACCCAAGAGTGCTTGGGCCCTGAATAACCAGCAGCAATACCCAGGCAGTACTTGCCATGGGCCTTGGGTGAGACTCAGAGACATGCTCGCTTTAGGTATAACCCAGCACATTCCCACCTGTGGTGGCTATGGGGAGAGCCTTCTTCTGCTTGAGAAAAGGAGAGGGAAGAGTAAAGGGGACTTGGTCTTGCAGCTTAGGTACCAGCTTGGCCACAGTGGGGTAGAGCACCAAGCAGGCTCTTGGGCCCTGATTTCAGGTCTTGGCTCTTGGACAGCATTTCTGGACCTGCCCTGTGCCACAGGGGAGCCCATTGCCCTGAAGGGAGAGACCCAGGCCTGGCAATATTCACCACAAGTTGACTGGAGAGCCCTTGGGTCTTGAGTGAATATCAGAGGTAGCCAGGCAGTACTTACCATGGGTCTAGGGTAGTGATGGTCATGGGGAGAGACTTCGCTTGTGGAAAGGGGAGGGAAGAGTGGGGAAGACTTTGTCTTGTGGCCAGGGTGCCAGCTCAACTGCAGCAAAATAGAGCACCAGGTAGCTTCCTAAGGTTTCTGACTTCAGGCTCTCAGATGACATCTCTGGGCCCACCTGGGGTCAGGGGGAACTGGCTGCCCTGAAGGAAAGGTTGCAAGCCTGGCTGGCTTTGCCACCTGCGATTGTAGAGCCCTAAGGCCTTGAGTGAACATAGGTGGTAGCCAGGTAGTGATTACCACAGGCTTTGGGCGAGACCCAGTACCATGCTAACTTCAGGTTTGAACTAGCACACTCCCAGTGGCTCTCCCAGCTATAGGCACCTCAGCACACAGAGCAATATTCCATTTGTTTGACAGAAAGTAAAGGAAGGGAACAAGAGTCCCTGCCTTGTAATCTAAAGAGTTCTTCCTGGTCTTATCCAAGACCATCAAGGCGGTACCTCTAGGAGTCTGTAAGAGCCATAGCATTACTCAGCTTGGGGTGCCCCCTAATACAAATATGGATCCCATGACCAAAAACTTAGATCACAACACCCAAGTCCCTTCAAATATTTGAGAAGCCTTACTAAAAAGAACAGGTACAAACAAGCCCAGACTGCAGAGACTACAAAAAATACTTAACTCTTCAATGCTCAGACACCAACAAACATCCACAGGCATCAAGACCATCCAGGAAAATGTGACTTCACCAAACAAACTAAGGCACCAGGGACCATTCCTGGAGAGAGAGAGAGATGTGACCTTTTAGACAGAGAATTCAAAATAGCTGTTTGAGGAAACTCAATGAAATTCAAGATAATACAGAGAAGGAATTCAGAATCCTATCAGATAAATTTAACAAAGAGACTGAAAGAATAAAAAAGAATCAAGAAGAAATTCTGGAGTTGAAAATGCAATTGACATACTGAAGAATGCATCAGAGTCTTTTACCAGCAGAATTGATCAAGCGGAGGAAACAATTAGTGAGCTTGAAGATAGGCTATTTGAAAACAGAGGAGACAAAAGAAAAAAGAATAAAAAAGAAAGAAACACACCCACAGTTCTAGAAAATATCCTCCAAAGGGCAAATCTAAGAGTTTTTAGTCTTAAAGAGGAGACAGATAGGGGTAGAAAGTTTATTGAAAGAGATAATAACAGAGAACATCCCAAATCTAGAGAAAGATATCAATATTCAAATACAAGAAGGTTATAGAATGCCAAGCAGATTTAACCCAAAGAAGACTGCCTCAAGGCATTTAATAATCAAACTCCCAAAGGTCAAGGATAAAGAAAGGATCCTAAAAGCAGCAATGGAAAAGAAAGAAATAACATGCAATGGAGTTCCAATAGGTCTGGCAGGAGACTTTTCAATGGAAACCTTACAGGGCAAGAGAGAATGCGTGACATATTTAAAGAGGTGAAGGAGAAAAAAAGTTTATTCTATAATAGTATATCCAGCAAAAATATCCTTCAGACATGAAGGATAAAAAGACTTTCCTAGTTAGACAAAAGTTGAGGGATTTCATCAACACCAGACCTGTAATATAAGAAATGCTAAAAGGAGTTCTTCAATCTGAAAGAAAAGAATGTTGATAAGCAATAAGAAATCATCCGAAGGTACAAAACTCACTGGTAATAGTAAGTACACAGAAAAACACAGACTATTATCACACTGTGATTGTGGTGTGTAAACTATTCATAATACCTTGAGTAGAAAGACTGAAACATGAACTGATCAAAAATAGTAACTACATCAACTTTTCAAGACATAGACAGTAAAATGAGAAAAAAAATTTGATTAAAAAAGGGCAAATGATCTTAACAGATATTTCTCAAAAGAAGACATCCAAATAGTCAATAAATATATTTTCAAATGCTCAACATTACTTATCACAAGCTATCTGCAAGGAAAAATCCCAATGAACTATCATTTCATCCCAGTTAAGATAGTTATTATAAAAAAGACAAAAATAGCAAAGGCTGATGAGGATGCAGAGAAAAGGGAACTCTTATATACTGTTCATTAGAATATAAACTAGTACAACCACTATGGAGAACAGAATGGAGGTTCCTCAAAAAACTACAAGTAGAACTACCACATGATCCAGCAATCCCACTACTGGGCATTTATCCAAAAGAAAAGAAATCAGTATATCAGAGTGACATCTGCATCCCTATGTTTATCGTAGTACTATTCACAATAGCCAAGATATGGAATCAACCAAGGTGTGCAGCAATAGATAAATGGATAAAGAAAATGTGGTGGCCAGGCATGGTGGCTCATGCCTATAATCCGAGAACTTTGGGAGGCCAAGGTGGGAGGGTCACTTGAGGTCAGGAGTTCGAGACCAGCCTGGCCAAAATGTTGAAACCCTGTCTCTGCTAAAAATACAAAAATTAGCCAGGTGTGGTGGCGGGCACTTGTAATCCCAGCTACTCGGGAGGCTGAGGCAGGAGAATTGCTTAAACCCAGGAGGTGGAGGTTACAGTGAACTGAGATTGTGCCGTTGCACTCAGCCTGGGAGACAGAGACTCTGACTCAAAAAAAAAAAAAAAAGGAAATTTGGCATAGATACAGAATGGAATATTATTCAACCACAAAAGTAATGAAATTCTGTCATTCACAACAACATGGATGGAAATGGAGGACATTATGTTAAGTGAAATAAACCAGGCACAGAAAGACAAAAATTGTATGTTCTCACTCATATACGGAAGTTAAAGTAAAGTTGATCTCATAGAAGTAAAAAGTAGAATTAAGGATACTAGAGACTGGGAAGTTTAAGGGGAAAGGAGGATAAGGACAGATTTGTTAAAGGATACAAAATAACAGCTACATAGGAGGAATAAATTCTAGTGTTCTGTACCACTGTAGGAGAATTATAGTTTGAAATAGCTAGAAGGTGGATACTGAATGTTCACAACACAAATAAGTGATAAATTTGTGAGATGATGGTAACTACCCTGATCTGGTCACTATATATGTATGAAATATCACTATGTACGCTGTGAATATGTACAATTATTTGTCAACTTAAAAGAAAAATGTGGTGGCCAGGTGTGGTGGTTCACATCTGTAATACCCGCACTTTGGGAGGCCAAGGTGGGCAGATCACCCGAGGTCATGAGTTTGAGACCAGCCTGGCCAACATGGTGAAACCCCATGTCTACTAAAAATACAAAAAATTAGCCAGGTGTGATGGGACGTGCCTGTAGTCCAGCTACTCCAGAGGCTGAGGCAGGAGAATCGCTTGAACCTGGAAGGCGGAGGTTGCAGGGAGCCAAGATCATACCACCACACTACAGTCTGGGTGACAGAGCAAGATTCCATCTCAAAAAAAAAAAAAAAAGAGAGAGAGAAAAAGAAAAAAATGTGATATATATATACACAAAGGAATATTATTATATTATTAAGTCATAGAAAAGAATGAAATTCTGTCATTTGCAGGAACATGATGAAACTGGGGGTCATTGTTACATGAAATAAGTCCAACACAAAAATACAAATACCTCATGTTCTCACTTATATGTGGGAGCCTAAAAAATGGATCTCTCCTAACATAGAGAAATAATGAATGTTTGAGGGGATGTTTATTCCAATTATCCTGGTTTTATCATTATACATTGTGTGCTTGTACCAAAATATCACATGTACTCCATAAATATGTACAACAATTATGTATCCATCAAATTATAAATAAAAAGGGGGATCTCGTGAAGATAGTAGATTGGTGGTTACCAAAGGCCAGAAAGAATGTGGGGAGGGAGTTGATTAATGGATACAAACATACAGTTAGATAGGAAAAATAAAACCTGGTATTTGATAGATCAGCAGGGTGACTGTAGTTAATATTAATCTATTATGCATTTCAAAATAACTAGAAGAGAACAATCTGAATGTTACTAGCATATAGAAAAGATATAGCCGGCCGGGCGCGGTGGCTCACGCCTGTAATCCCAGTACTTTGGGAGGCCGAGGCGGGCGGATCACGAGGTCAGGAGTTTGAGACCATCCTGGCTAATACGGTGAAACCCTGTCTCTACTAAATATACAAAAAATTAGCCAGGCGAGGTGGTGGGCACCTGTAGTCCCAGCTACTCCGGAGGCTGAGGCAGGAGAATGGCGTGAACGTGGGAGGCGGAGCTTGCAGTGAGCCGAGATCGCGCCACTGCACTCCAGCCTAGGCGACAGAGCGAGACTCCGTCTCAAAAAAAAAAAAAAAAAAAAAAGATATAGCCAGGTGCAGTGGCTCACATCTGTAATCCCAACATTTTGGGAAGCAGAGGCAGGAGGATCACTTAAACCCAAGAGTTCGAGACCAGCTTGGGCAACATAGTGAAACCCTGTCTCTACAAAAAAAAAAAAAAAAAAAAATTTTAATTAGCTGGGTGTGGTGGTGCACACCTGCAGTCCCAGCTACTCAGGAGGCTGAGGTGGGAGGATCACGTGAGCCTAGGAGGTCAAGGCTGCAGTGAGCTATGATCGCACCACTGCACTCCAGCCTGGGTGACAGAGCAAGACTCTGCCTCAAAAAAAATAAAATAAAATAAAAAATAAGATATATATTTAAGGTGATCGATATTCCAATTACCCTGATTTGATTCTATTATATCAAATTATCACATGTACCCTGTAAATACACATCTATTGTGAATCAGTAAAAATATAAAGTAAATATGAAAGGATGTATATCAGCTACATTGTTATCCTTGATAGAAAGAAAAAAAATAATTTCTCATAGCATCTTATTTAGGGACTATTTGGGAATAATGAACATTATTTAGGGATGTGGCAAAAGCCATCCTCAATAAAAATCTTATAGCAAATATAGTAATGTTTCTAGTCAGTTTATGCAAAAGCTGATCCAACTAATTTAAGAAGAAATTTAAGAAGGAAGGTTGAAATATCACCTTGCTTTATATAACATTGAAATTTTCTGCAATCACTGTAACTATAAGGTTTATAGCACTTTTAAATGTGGGAAGAAACGCTTTGATAGCATAAGGTGTGAGAGGTCATCTGAAATTAAGGATAGTGGTAGATGGAATTGAAAGCTTGAGCAAAAAGCAGAGGTTTAGAATAACCGCAGTACATTTATAGATCATCGAGAATAAAATGTCAAATAAGCTGACTGAAGATGAAACCCTACTCCAAAGAGTTAAAGAAACTAACAACAGATATTCTTGAGTTTGCAGGATGACACATAAGAAACAACTTGCTGAAAAGCTGAAACTTCCTTTGCTATTAATAGTAAGAAAACAAAACTGACTAAAATCAGTTGAAACCAATATGGCCAATTAGAGTTTGTGCAGAATGAATTTGCTGACATTACAGCCTGAATTTCCACCATATGTTTTTTATTAACTCCCCCTGAATTTGCACATGGGACCCATGAGAAAGCATGAAGAGATAAGTACACATGCCTGAGGACTTTCCAGACCTCCCTTTCCTTCCACCAATCACCTACTAATTTCAGAATGCACCCCCTGAACTTTTCTAATAAAAATACTGCCTTGAAGCCAGCATAGGGTGGCAGATTTGAGTTGGACTCCTGTCTCTTTGTTGGTTGACTTGCAATAAAAAGCTTCTTGGCTGGGTGTGGTGGCTCATGCTTCTAATCCTAGCAGTTTTGGAGTCTGAGGTGGGAGGATCACTTGTGCTCAGGAGTTTGAGACCAAGCTGGACAGTGTAGTGAAATCCCATCTCTACGAAAAAAAAATTTAATTTAAATTAGCTGGGTATGATGGCAAATGCCTGAAGTCCCAGCTACTTGGAAGAGTGAGGCGGGAGGATCGTTTGAGCCTGGGAGATTGAGGTGGAAGTGATCCATGATCAAGCCGCTGCACTCCGGGCTGGGCAACAGAGCAAGACCTTATCTAGAAAAAAAAAAAAAAAAAAAAAGCGTTTCTTTTTTCTTTTCTCAAAAACCCAATGTCATAGTATTTGCTGCAATCACATTGGGCAGTGAGCCTCTTTTGCTTGATAACAAAGATATATATAATTCATTGGATTTAATTTACTTTAAAAATAAGCAAGCTGGGCATGGTGGTTCACATCTGTAATCCCAGCGTTTGGGAGGCCAAGGTGGGCAGATCACCCAAGGTAAGGAGTTCGAGACCAGTCTGGCCAACATGGTGAAATCCCATCTCTACTAAAAATACAAAAATTAGCTGGGTATGGTGGTGGGTGCCTGTAATCCCAGCTACTTGGGAGGCTGAGGCAGGAGAATCAGTGGAACCCGGGAGGCAGAGGTTGCAGTGAGCCAAGATCATGCCACTGCACTCCAGCCTGGGCGACAAGAGCAAGACTTCACTCAAAAAAAAAAAAAAAAAGGCAAAGCAGAATTAACAAAAAAATGTTCCATAGCCTACCTGACTACTCACATAAGCGATTAGATTACAGAATGTACATTTACAGTTCATCGAGAATAAAAAGTCAAATTTGTGATGAAATATATAGTATAGTAATGGATCTATAATTTCAGAACGCTAAAAGGTTGCCCTTTTATGAAAAAAATGGTAGATTATACCCTATAAGTAGTGCTTTAGTGGCATGCTGTAAATCCTGATATACTGTGCTTTCATTTTATTTGTTGAAAATATCTTTTTATTTTCCTTTGAGACTTCCTCTTTAATGATTATTTAGAAATGTGTTATTTAGAAGTTATGGTAGTTTTCAATGATTTCTCTGTATTAGATAATGTATCATGTGTACTTGGAAAGGATATGCATTTTGCTCTCGTTGGGTTGAATGTTCTATAAATGTCAATTAGATCCAGTTGATTGATGGTAGTAACATCAATACGTGGCTTCCAAGGTTTCCCTAGGGATCATCTCCACCCCCGTCAGCCCAAAGGGAGAAAGATCATGAAGAAAATTGCCTGGAATGTTTTTATGACATCACTTCCACTCAAATTCTATTGGTTAGAACTCAGTCATATGGCTTCACCTAAAGGTATGAGAAGCTGGGTCATGTAGTCTAGCTTTTTGCCTGGGAAGAAGAGGAAAATATATTTAGACGAACAACCAGAAATCTATTTCTATTCTCTGGAAGAGCTTGTATAAGATAAGAAATACTTGAATCATGGGTATACAGTAGAAATTGTAAAGTTATTGGGGCTATTTTCTTTGGGGGAAATTTTGTAACTACTGATTCAATTTAACGGATACTGTTCATATATGTTTTCTATTACTTCTTGAGTCACTTTTTGTAAGTTACTTTTTAGGTATATATTATTTTGTATAAGTTTTCAAATATATTAGCATAAATTCATTGAAAGTATTTATTTTAACCTCTGCTCTATCTGTGATTATGTTCTTTCTTCATTTTTAATATTATTTATTTATGCCTTCTATTTTTTTCATTTGGTTAATCTTACTAGAGATTTGTCCATTTTATTAGTCTTTACCAAGAATCATAAATTTTATTTCATTAATTTCTGTTCTTTATTATTTTCTTCCTCTACTTTCTTTGGGTTTATTTTGCTGGTCTTTTTCAACTTGTAATTTGTATGCTAAGCTCATTAGTTTTCAAACTTCTTTTCTAATATATGCATTTAGGGCCATATATTTTCCTTAAATTTGGCTCCAGCTGTGTTCCTATGAGTATTTATGCATAGTATTTTCATTATTATCTAGTCCTGTGTATTTTCTAGGTTTCACTGATTTCTTCTTTAATTAATGAGTTATTTACAATGTGATTTTAAATTTCCCCAAGCACAGGAGCTTTTCTTAGGGTATATTTTAAGTTATTAATGTAGAGATTAATTGCATTATTGTCAGAGAACATGGTATATATAATAATGATTTTATAAAACTTGTTGAGTCTTGGCCAGGTACAGTGGCTCTCACTTGAAATCTCAGCACTTTGAGAGGCCGAGGTGGGAGGATCCCTTGAGGCCAGGAGCTCAAGACGAACCTGGGCAACATAGAGAGATTCCATCTCTACAAAAAATTTAAAAATTAGACAGGGATGGTGGCACACATGTGTAGTCCTAGATACTTAGGAGGCTGAGGTGGGAGGATCAGCTGGGCCCAGGACTTTGAGACTACAATGAGCTATGATCATGCCACTGCACTCCAGCCTGGGCAACAGAGTGAGATCTTGTCTCGAAAAACACACACACACACACACACACACACACACACACACACAAAAACCACGAAACAAATAAAAACTTGTTGAGTCTTGCTTTATGGCCTGATATTATTATATGCATGTTAAATTTCAGATGTCTTTCCTTTTTTTTTTTTTTTTGAGACTGAGTTTCACTCAGTCACCCAGGCTGGAGTGCAGTGGCGCAATCTCGGCTCACTGCAACCTCTGCCTTCTGGGTTCAAGCAATTCTCCTGCCTCAGCTGCCCCGCTAACTGGGACCACAGGTGCCCACCATCACGACTGGTTAATCTTGTGTGTTTTTAGTAGAGACAGGGTTTCAACATGTTGGCCATGCTGGTCTTGAATTCCTGACCTCAGGTGATCTGCCTGCCTTGGCCTCCCAAACTGCTGGGATTACAGGCATGAGCCACTGCACCCAGCCATTATGTTATTAATTTCTTATAATATTATCTTATTTATTGCTTGCTGTAATTCTGTGAGATAGTATGATTCTCATTTTTCAAGTGAGAACATTAAGATCCATCCAATATAATAAGTAGCTTTTCAAAGTTCACAGATCCAGTTAGGCTTATATCAGATCAAAGCAGACACCAACTATAAATAATCAATATGGTCCACTTTACATACTGGCTGCATATCAGCCCTGCATATATTTCATTATAGATTTTTAAACCTCAGAGTAAGGATTATTCTTATTTTAAACAGATTTTTATCCCCCTTAAGTCCCCCATGCAATGTTTCACACGTATTTGCTGTTCAACAGATATTTGTTGATTGGACTAAACCACTTATATACAGCATAAACCTAAGAATGAAATCTGGCAAAACTCAAGAAGAGCAAAATAAACAGGTAGTTTGTGAATACTCAAAAATAAAAGCAGGACTTATAGTTCAGGAAACATTGCAAAAAATAATCTGAAAATACTCCTGGTACAAATACTTAGTACTTCTGATTTAATACATAGGTCTATAACATATAAATATATAACACATAAATATATAAATATGTGAATATAGACAGGCTGAGGAAGAAGGACCTACAAATGCAATTATAGACATAGAGTTGGGAGGAAAACCAAGTGAATTTAAGTTACAGACATTAAGGCAAGAGAGGGAGAAAAATCAGTAGTGACCTTTGGATTTTGTGTTAACGAAGTTATTAATCACTGTGGAAATAGAAGTTGTATGGAAGTAGAAATTTTTATTTTAAGAAGTTTGGCTATAAATGGTAAGAAAAGGGCCAATTGTAAGCTGGAGGGTGCTGTAGTGAGACAGAGAGTTTTATTTATTTTCATATGGAAAAGTCATAATCAGGTTTAAGACTTAATCCCTTTAACTACACTATTTCTTACAGTCTAAATCTTAAGATTTGGCTTAAGTGTCATTTCTAGAAAACTGTTTTTGCATTGGGCCAAACTGCCTCTGTTGTTATACCACTGTAAACAGGTTATTCTCATAGCACTCAGGACATTTTAAGGAACATATATGTTTAAATGACTTGCCCCCTTCTAGATTGTATGCTCCATAATCGTGTGTTACTTTTCTTTTTCTTCTCCATTTTTTTTTTTTGAGATGGAGTCTTGCTCTGTCACCCAGGCTGGAGGTGCAATCTCGGCTCACTGCAACCTCCGCCTCTTGGGTTCAAGCTATTCTCCTGTCTCAGCCTCCCAAGTAGCTGGGATTACAGATATGTGCCACGACGTCTGGCTAGTTTTTTGTTTTGTTTTGTTTTTAGTAGAGATGGGGTTTCACCATGTTGGCCAGGCTGGTCTCGAACTCCTCACCTCAGATGATCTGCCTGCCTCGGCCTCCCAAAGTGCTGGGATTATTGGTGTGAGCCAACGCTCCCCACCTGTTACTTATCTTTGAATCACCAATTCTTGACTAGTAATTGGCAATAGAAAATTATCAGGCAATGTTTAACTATGCAGCCTTAAAAAAAAAAAACTTTCTCCTATCTTTCTATAGATCTTCCTATGTCTTTATTTTGTATTATTCTTCCATTATAACACCCATAATACTTTTAAATTGAACTTAAAAAATATGTATGTCCTTCCTACTAAGCAGCATACTTCTTGAGGGAAAGAACCTTATATTATCCATGTTTTAATACTAGCATCTATCATTATCCATTGAATATTTAATCATTTATTGAGTAACCAGTCATTATTCTAAACTCTGAGAATACTATAGTGGTTCTAAGAAGACAGACAACAGACAATAAACCAATAAATAAAGAATATTATTAATGATTATTATTAAAGACAAAGAAATAGAGTGATACAAAGAGTGACTATTGAAAGTGGGGAGTTACTTTAGATAGGATACTTAAGAGTGGAGTCAAAAAAGTAAAAATACTATCTTTGTATATAATACGACTTTATGATATATATTGACTAAACCTTTAGAATAGGAGCAGAACTTAGTGATCACACAGTCAAGCCTTCTCATTTTACAAATTGATTTAGACAGAAAGTGACACTCATTGAAGGTATTAGCAAATATGTAATTTTTCCTTCCCGTGGTAAAATGTTTTGGAAACTTTCATGTTCTTTATATCTCATTGCAATTCCCCTGAGAGGTAAATGATTCATTTAAACCAGGGGCTGGAATGGTGTACTAATCACACCTATTTTCTGTCGTAATAGAGAATTTTTAAGGAGAGGAAAGGTAGGAGGGCAGAGATTCTCAGAGGTGAAAGCTAAGTGGGCTATAAACACAGTGATAAAAATATAGAAGGTGCTACAAGGAGACTTGTAATATCTAAATAGATGAGTCAGGAATTATATATGAAAATTTAAAAAAAATTTTTCTGATTTTTCTAAGATATTCATGGTAGAAAATTTGATATATAGAAAGGTCTAGAGTGAAAATTGTACCTATAAGCCCTTACCCCAGGAATAACCAAAGTTGATTGTTTTCTTTATACAAATAGTTTTTGCTATCTCTCTCCCTATCTCTCTTTTTTTTTTAAACAAAATTGAGATTATGTTATGTCTATATTTTTTAAATATTTGAGAAAAGGAAATCGGCCTTGGCAAAAAAGTGAGACTCTGTCTCTAAAAAAATTAAAAAGATTAGCCAGGAATGGTGGCATGTGCCTGTAGTCCTAGTTACTTGGGAGGCCAAGGAGGGAGGATGAGAGGATTGCTTGAGCCCCAGGAGCTCAAGGCTATAGTGAGCTATGATTGTGCCACTGCATTCCAGCCTGGGCAACAGAGTCAGGCCTTGCCTCCAATACATATTGGAGAAAAGCAGAAAAAGGAAAAGGAAAAAGAATAGTAAACACCCATGTAATCTCCTCATAAATGAACATTTTTTTGTTCATCTAAGCTTCAGATCTGTAATTTTTTTTTTTTTTTTGAGACAGAGTCTTGCTGTGTCACCAGGCTGGAGTGCAGTGGTGCAATCTCAGCTCACTGCAACCTCCAACTCCCTGGTTCAAGCGACTCCCCTGCCTCAGCCTCCCGAGTAACTGGGATTACAGGCACACGCCACCATGCTCAGCTAATTTTTTGTATTTTTAGTAGAGACAGGGTTTTACCGTGTTGGCCAGGATGGTTTTGATCTCCTGACCTTGTGATCCGCCCACCTCAGCCTCCCAAAATGCTGGGATTACAGGCGTGAGCCACCGCGCCTGGCCCAGATCTGTAATTTTTTTAAAGAAATGAAATATTGGGCATGGTGGCTCATGCCTGTAATCTCAGCTACTCAGGAAGCTGAGATGGAAGGATCACTTGAGGCCAGGAGTTCAAGACCAGCCTGGGCAATATAGAGAGACCCTCCACTTACCCGCCACTCCATAAAAGGCTGCTCCGAAGGCAGTGAGTCTTAATTGATTGTGCACAGTCAGTTGCAGATCGAACTCCTTATTCAGTTCTTTCTTCTCTCATCACTACTGCACTTGGCTAGTCTAAAAAAGTGTTTAAGGAAAGAAAAACCAATGAAATATTATAGATAAAGTCTAAGTTTGTGTTCTATCCACAGTGCCATCCACCGCTTTCCCCACCAAAAGACAACTAATAGTAAAATTTGGTGTACTTTAATACTTTTTAAATATTTAATTGTTAAAAATAGTATTATTTTATGTTTTCTTTAAATGTGCATAAGTGAAATCAGTACATAATTGGAATCATTGAATATACATTTATAGAACTTGCTTTTTTTGTATTATTTTTTCAGTTTTATTCATACTGACACATATAGATCTAGTTTATTGATAAGTCATAAGTGGTAAGTTTGATGAAGTTTCAGTCAACAGACCTATAGAAGCAACATCCAGATCAAGAAACAGAACATTACCAACATCCCAGAACTCCCCCTGATGTTGGTGTTTGAACTTTATGTCTGCCTTCTTTTGCTCAGCATTACGTTTATAAAATTTATCATGTTGTGCATAGTTGTAGTTTATTCTTTCTCATTGCTGTAAATATTTTGTTTTCTTTAATTAATTCAACTTTTAAATTTATCCATTCAACTATTGATTGGCATTTGGACAGTTTCCAATTTGTGGGCTATGTCAAGTAGTGCTCCTATAAATATTTTAGTACATGTTTTTGTGAACACACATATGCTCCTCAGTTGGGTATTTGTCTAAGACTTGAATTGCTGGATCGTAAGTATGCATGTGTTCAGCTTTCATAATAATGCTAAACAGTTTTTTAAAGTATTTTACCAAATTACATTCTCACCACCAGTGAATGAGAGTTCAGGCTACTCTGCCTCTTTGCCAGTACTTCATATTTTCTTTTTCATTTTAGGCACTGTATATAGTGGTCATAGTATCTCATTGTGGTTTAATTTTCACTTCCTTAATGATTAATAACATTTTTACATGTTTATTGGCCATTTAGATTCTCTTTTATGATACTCTTAAATTTTTGGTTTTTTTTAATTGACGTAATTGTGCACATTTATGGGGTACAGTGTGATATTTTGATACATGTGTACAATGTGTAATACTCAAACCAGGGTTATTGGGCTATCCCTCACCTCACGCATTTGTCTTTGTATTTAGAACATTACAATTCTTATCTTCTAGCTATTTTGAAATATATAATACATTATTGTTAATTGTTGTCACCCTGCTCTGCCATCAAACATTAGAGAACATATTCCTTCTAACTGTATGTTTGTACCCATTAACCAACTTCTCATCATCCTCCCTTCCCCCACTCCCTTCCCAGTCTCTGGTAACCACCATTTTACTCTCTTCTTCATGAGATCCCCTTTTTAAGCTCCCACATATGAATGAGAACGTACAATTTTTGTCTTTCTGTTCCTGGCTTATTTCACTTATGACTTCCAGTCCCATCCATGTTGCTGCAAATGTTTCATTTGTTATTAGGACTGAATAATACTCCATTGTGTATATATACCACATTTTCTTTATTCATTCATTTATTGATGGACACCTAGATTGATTCCATATCTTGGCTATCGTGAATAATGCTGCAACAAATACAGGGGTACAGATGTCACTTTAGTATACTGATTTCCTTTCCTTTCCTTTAAATGTATATGCAGAAGTGGAATTGCTGAATCACGTGGTAGTTTTATTTTTAGGTTTTTGAGAAAACTCCTTATTGTTTTTCATAATGGCTGTACTATTTTGCATTCTCACCAACAGTCTATAAGGGTTCCCCTTTCTCTGCATCCTTGCCAGCATTTGTTATTTTTTGTCTTTTTGATAATAGCCATTCTAACTAGGGTAAGATAATATCTCATTGTGGTTTTGATTCGCGTTTCCCTGATGATAGTGATGCTGAACATTTTTTCATATACCTGTTGGTCATTTGTACGTCCTTTGAGAAATGTCTATTCAGATCATCTTCCCATTTTTAATAAGATTATGTTTCTTTGATGCTGAGTTGAGTTCCTTGTATATTTTAAATATTAATCCCTTGTCAGACGAATGGTTTGCAAATATTTCCTGCCATTCTACAAGTTGTCTCTTCGCTTTGTTGGTTGTTTCCTTTGCTGTGCAGAAGCTTTTTAGTCTGATATAATCTCATTTATCAATTTTTGCTTTTGTTACTTGTGCTTTTGAGGTCTTATTCATAAAATCTTTTCTCAAACCAATGTCCTGAAGCATTTCCCCTATTTTTTTTTCTAGTTGTTTTATAGTTTGGGCTCTTACATTTAAGTCTTTAATCCATTTTGAGTTGATTTTTGTATATGGTGAGAGATAAGGGTCTTCTGCAGATGGATAGCCAGTTTTCCCCACAAGAGGTTGTTCTTTCTCCGGTGAGTGTTCCTGGCACTTTGGCAAAAATCAGTTGGCTGTAGACATGTAGATTTATTTCTGGGTTCTCCATCCTGTTCCACTGGCCTATGTTTCTGTTTTTTATGCCAATGCTATGCTGTTTTGGTTATTATAGCATTGTAGTATATTTTGAAGTCAGATAGTGTGATACCTCCAACTTTTTTTTTCCCCTCAGGATTGCTTTAGCTATTCAGGGTGTTTTGTGGTTTCATACACATTTTAGAATTTTTTCCTATTTCTGTGAAGAATTTCATTGTTATTTTGATAGGGATTCTATTGAATCTGTAGATTGCTTTGGTTACCCTTAAATTTTTAACATCTATACTTAACTGTTTTTCTAAAAATAAAAATCTAAAGATATTCACTGCCTCTATTCCTTACCCAATCTAGATGATAAAGTCCCTTAGCAACATTTAAATTACTACTATTCCCCCACTTACCAGTTCTATTCTTTTGAGAAAGCTATTTAGCCTCAATTTGACTCATCTGTTTTCTCATATGTAAAGTGCAGAAATCATAGTATTTAACTTATAGAATTTGGAGAAGTAAATAAGTTAATGTTTATAAAGCACTTTGAATAGTGCCTGGCATATAGTATTTGCAGTATAAATGTTAGATATATTTTTCATATATAGCATCATTATAACTTATTTAATTGATTTCCTAATTTGGGGCATTTGGAGTTTTTATATTAAAAGTATCACTTTGAGAAATAACCTTATATAACCTTTTTGTACCACTAATTAATTCCTGAATGTAGACATTTCTGATCTCAAAGAAAACTAAGATTTGACAGGCACTATCTTGAAGCTGGAAATTACTTAGAAAACAATAAAAATATGGAAATGACAAAATCTTTATCATGTCATATTCTTAGTGGAACTTGATAATATATTCACACAAAGATCTTCAATTAGTTTTATACTCAATCTTTTCCCAAAATAATATACTCCTCAGTTGTCTTAAGGTTCAAGTTCTATAAAGCCTCCTATGAAAGCTTTCTTTCTCGGCTGAGCGTGATGGCTTATGCCTGTAATCCCAGCACTGCGGGAGGCTGAGGTGGGTGAATCACTTGAGGTCAGGAGTTAGAGACCAGCGTGGCCAACATGGTAAAACCCCGTGTCTACTAAAAATACAAAAATTAGCCTGGCGTGGTGGTGTGCACCTGTAGTCCCAGCTACTTGGGAGGGTGAGGCAGGAGAATCGCTTGAACCCAGGAGTCGGAGGTTGCAGTGAGCCGAGATCTCACCACTGTACTCCAGCCTGGGTGACAGAGCTCACTCAAAACAAAAACAAAAACAAAAACAAAACAAAACAAAACAAAAAAACAGAAAGCTTTCTTTCCTTCTTTTGTTTTTTGAAAGCTTTCTACGGTTTACTTTATGCAGCTTTCAGAATCTTAAGGAAGACTTGACCAACCTATAATTACCCCAAGCCTTCTTCATTCCTAATTATTTTTAATACATACTAGAATTATGATAATTTGTAGCAGGGATAAGATAATAGGAAAAAAAAACCCAGAGGTCTGGCTTTAATTTGCTGCATAACCTTAGTTTATTACTTTTCTTTCGTGGACCTCAATTTTACCATCTATAAAATAAAGGGTAATATCATATAATTCCTATAGGTTTTTCCAATTGTAAAATTGGTGATATACTTTTACTTTATATTGCTTTCATTTAGCTTTCTTTCTTTCTTTTTTTTTTTTTTTGAGAGACAGGTTTTGCTTTGTTGCCCAGGCTAGAGTGCAGTGGAGCAATTTTAGTTCACTGTAATCTCAAATTCCTGGGCTCAAGCAATCCTCCCGCCTCAGCCTCCTGAGTAGCTGGGACTAACAGGCAAATGCCATCACACCTGGTTAATTTTTTTTTGAGACAGAGTCTCAGGCTCGAGTGCAGTGGTGCTATCTCGGTTTACGACAACTTCCACCTCCCAGGTTCCAGTGATTCTCCTGCCTCAGCCTCCCGAGTAGCTGGGACTACAGGCATGTACCACCATGCCCGGCTAATTTCTGTATTTTTAGTAGAGACAGGGTTTCACCATGTTAGCCAGGCTGGTCTCGAACTCCTGACCTCAGGTGCTCTGCCCGTCTCAGCCTCCCAAAGTGCTGGGATTACAGGCGTGAGCCACGGCGCCCTGCCCCTGGTTAATTGTTTTTTAACTTTTTGTAGAGATGGTATTTCACTCTATGGCTGGGCTGGTATCCAACTCCTGGCTTCAAGATCCTTCCGCCTCAGTCTCCCAAAGTGTTGGGATTACAGGCATGAGCCGCCACGCCCATCCTCATTTTACCTTTTAGATAAAACTTGTAAAGATTTCTAAGATCTTAAAAATTCCTCATATTTGTTACTTTATTACTCTTATCTGCCTCCTTATAGAGATTGATAACACAAATCTTAAAATGAAAATCTTAAAAAGTCTTATGTTGGAGGCCTGCCAGGAATGATACGGGAGGGGAAAAAAAAAAAAGCTAGACTGAGAAGGAAGAAAAACAGATAACAAGGTGGTGGCAGCTGTACAAACACAAACGAAACCTAGGTTTCAAATATTGGCATCATCAAAGAAATGTGCCCTGGGCCATAATCATCAGGAGGCCCTGTGTAATTCTCTAATCCAGGGTCTTGGAGTTTATTAGAATTGCATGGGACTAGAATTCCCATCTCCCAATCTCCTGGTTAATGTCTTAACACTACAACATGCTATATCATTTGAAGTTTATCATTCAGTTTTACCTAGAGAATAAAAATACATGCATGAAATAATCTTTTGTAATTTGTTTGTATAGGTTTTTTTAATTACTTGACCTATTTTCTTGCTGCTGGTGCTGTCACTTTGGGAATTGGTTTCTTTGCTTTGGCATCAGCTTTGTGGTTCCTGATTTGCAAACGAAGGTAAGGATTATTCGAATATTTCTTTAACCTTTTTTTCTTTTAAAAATTCAATAAAGGACTTTTTCAAATGGAAGTAAACTTAAATAACTATGATAGTATTGATTGTTTAGTTTGGGATTTGGTTATAGACCCTTTGGTTGGGGACGGAAGGCTTTACATTTTTTAAGTAGCCTGAAAAAAGAAGTACTGGTGATAGGAATGTTCATGCATTAAAATTTTGAAGGATAACAAGACCTACTTTCTTTTCTTTTTTTTTTTTTCTTTTCTTGAGACAGAGTCTTGCTCTGTCGCCCAGGCTGGAGTGCAGTGGCGCGATCTTGGCTCACTGCAAACTCCACCTCCTGGGTTCAAGCGATTCTCCTGACTCAGCCTCCTGGGTAGCTGGGATTACAGGTTCGCACCACGACACCCGCCTGTTTTTGTATTTTTAGTAGAGACGGGGTTTCACCATGTTGGCCAGGCTGGTCTCGAACTCCTGACCTCAGACGATCCGCCCGCCTCGGCCTCCCAAAGTGCTGGGATTACAGGCATGAGCCACCACACCCGGCCTTTATTTTCTAGAAGACATAGGTTTGATTGTAATGGTAGGTGAAAATGTTTTTAAAAATTGACTCCCAATTTTAGAGATTGAAAACATTATAGAAAAGGAAAGAAACTTTTTCTTTAGGAGATATTTAAGAAAAAAGCTGACAGAATGCCCTGGTATGGTCTGAAAGTAGTCTTTTGCCAGAAACAGAAAAAGATCATTTGACACCTTAATTCCTTTCAACTGTAAAATTTGCTGTTTCTAATTATTAATTATTAATATTAATATTAATATTAAATCATTTCAGGCCGGGTGCCGTGGCTCACACCTATAATCCCAGCACTTTGGGAGGCCAAAGCGGACGGATCACCTGGGGTCAGGAGTTTGAGACTAGCCTGGCCAAAATGGTGAAACCCTCTCTCTACTAACGATAAACAAAGTTAGCCAGATGTAGCGGCACACACCTGTAGTCCCAGCTGCTCGGGAGGCTAAGACAGGAGAATCGCTTGAACCCAGGATGCAGAGGTTGCAGTGAGCCGAGATTGTGCCATTGCACTACAGCCTGGGTGAAAAGAGTGAAACTCCATCTCAAAAATACATACATACATACATACATAAATTCAGCGTTTGCATTGTCTAATGTTTAAAATATATAAATTGTAACATAATCTTCCCACACAGTCTTCCAGTGTTCCTTGTTGCAAATGAATACACACTACCCATCTACATTCAGAAGTCAGAAACCTAGAAATTATTCACTTATTCATTCTTCCAACAAATATTTATTAGGTGCTTGCCATTGTTCTAGGTATTGAGGTTACAACTGTGAACAAGTTTAAAAAGTTTCTGTTTAATAGATTTGCAATGCCACTAGCAGGGGACAGATAATGAACAGATAAACTAGTCAGGATATGTGTGTACTAAGGTAGGTTGTATTTAATCTGAGATCTGAGTTAGAAGGAACCAGACATAGGAAGACTTTGTGCAAGAGCTGTCTAAACTGAAAGCAGAGCAAATACAAAGACCCTAAGGAATGGTCTTGACATGTTTAACAAACAGAAAGAAGGCCAATGTGAATAATCTGCAGTGAGAAAGGGAAACAATCATGAAATTGAAGAGACATGTAAGAGCCAGATCACTTAAGAATTTGTAGGCTAGAACACGGAGTTGGATTTTATTTGTGCCATTGGCAGTTTCTAAACAAGGGGAATAGCACCGTCATCGTAATAGCTAACACTGACTGCTTTCTAAATAGGCACTGTTATAAATGCTTCATATGTTATCTCATTCAGACTTAGCCCCATGAGGTAAAAGTAATATTATCTCCATTTTAAAGACTATCCTAGGCCTGGTGCGGTGACTCACGTCTGTAATCCCAGCACTTTGGGAGGCCAAGGCAGGTGGATCACTTGAGGCTAAGAGTTCGAGACCAGCCTGGCCATCATGGCAAAACTTTGTCTCTATTAAAAACACAAAAATTACCCGGGAATGGTGGTACACGCCTGTAACCCCAGCTACCTGGGAGGCTGAGACACGAGAATTGCTTGAACCCTGAAGGCAGAGATTGCAGTGAGCCAAGATCCCACCACTGCACTCCAGCCTGGGTGACAAGCGAGACTCTGTCTCAAAAATAAATAAGTAAATAAAGACTATCCTATAGCTGATTTACATTTTAATAACTGTTTAAAATTGAGGTATAGTTTACATACAAGAAACTGCATAGATTTGAAATGTACAGCTATCAGTTTCAACAAATATACACCTATGTAACCACCACTCTGTCAAGATATAGAGCTTTTCACTGCCCTAGGAAGTTCCCTCATGCTCCTTTCCAGGCATCACTCCTGACCTCCTACCTCAGAGGAAAGATTTATTCAGGTTTCTATCACCACAGATTAATTTTGCCTGTTCTTGTATCATAATGGACTTTTTATGTCTGTTTTTTTCACTCAACATAATATTTTTGAGGCCGGGCGCAGTGGCTGACGTCTGTAATCCCAACACTTTGGGAGGCTGAGGCGGGCAGATCTCTTGAGGTCAGGAGTTGGAGACCAGTGAACAGTGAAACCCTGTCTCTACTAAAAGTACAAAAATTAATCGGGCATGGTCGTTCATGCCTGTAATCCCAGCTACTCGGGAGGCTGAGGCAGGAGAATCACTTGAACCCAGATGGCAGAGGTTGCAGTGAGCTGAGATTGTGCCACTGCACTCGAGCCTGGGCAACAGAACAAGACTCTGTCTCAAAATGATAATAATATTTTTAGATTCATTTATATTGCATTTATCCATCCATAGTTCATTGTTTTATTGAGTAATATTCCATTTTATGAATATACCTTGGTTTATCTATTCTTTTGTTAATGGACATTGGGGTCATTTTGTTTTTAGCTCTTAGGAAAATGGCTGCCATAAATATTCTTGTATAAATCTTGTACATATAAAGTACAAGTACTTTCACTTTTCTTAGGTAAATACCTAAAACTAGAATTGTTGGATCATATGATTAGCTTTATTAGAAACGGCCAAACACTTTTCAGAAGTGTATATACACTCTCACTAGCAATGTATGAGAGTTCTGATTTACACTTTTAAAGATATTTTTAAAATATCTTTATGTCTCTATGAAGCCTGAATTTTAATGGAGCAAGAGTGAAAGCAGAGAGACAAGTCTGGAGACTATTGCAGAGTCAGGGTGAGAGTTTACGGTGTCTTGCACTAACATGGAAGTAGAGGAGATGAAAAGATGGAGTTGGATCTGGGATAGGTTTTGCAGGTAGAGTCAGCAGATCTTGTTGACAGATTGGATGAAAATGGCAGAGTTAATGCTGATGCATAACTTTTTGCCGTAAGCAGATACGTAGTTTATACTTTACTCAGCTCAGTTAAGCTCAGCCATTTACTGAGACAAGGAGATGATGAAAGGGAGGAGCAATTTAGGGGGCTGGTGATAAAAATGAAAGACATCCTTGAATCTCCCCACTCCCACTAAACTCAAACTATCACTAAATTCTATTTACCTTACTTCATATATTGCTCATATCTACTCAGTTATCTCCTTTACCACTGCCACCATCCTATCCAAGTTCTCATTATCCCCCACAGAGACTACTGCAAAAGAAGTTAAAATTGACTCCACCTTCAGTATCGTACTCATTTAATCTTTTCTCCACACTTCTACCAGATGTTCTCCAAGGGCAAATCTGATCAAGTCACCCTACCCTTTTTTTTTTTTTTTTTGAAACGGAGTCTTGATCTGTCACCAGGCTGGAGTGCAGTGGTGTGATCTTGGCTCGCTGCAACCTCCGCCTCCCAGGTTCAAGCAATTCTCCTGCCACAGCCTCCTGAGTAGCTGGGGCTACAGGTGCATGCCAACACATCCAGCTAATTTTTGTATTTTTAGTAGAGACAGGGTTTTGCTATGTTGTCCAGGTTGATCTCGAACTCCTGATCTTAGGTGATCCGCCCTCCTCGGCCTCCCAAAGTGCTGGGATTACAAGCGTGAACCACTGCGCCCAGCCCAAACTACCCTTCTACCCCACACTCACTATATTTTAAAGGACTTTTCATTGCCTTTGGATTAAAGATAAAACTTTTAAGGGCTTACATGGTCTACCCCCACACATATTCCCCAATCTCATCTCCCACTTTCCCTCCTGCTTTCTGTGTTTCTGTTACATTGTCCTAATCTGGCCAGTAGGTCTTTGTATATGATATTCTCTCTGTCTAGATATACTTACTTTCACATGTCCCCTCTTCCACCACATTCTACCTAATAACTACTGCTGTTTCTTCAGATGCCCAGTTAAATCATCCCTACCTTAATACTAAAGGCTTCCCTGACCTCTCTAACCAGGTTAATTCCCTTAGTTACATCCACAATACCAGGTAGCTTTCCTTGACAGCAATTTCCACTCTTGTAATTTTTCATTTTCTTGTGATTACGTTATTAATGTCTGTCTTCTTTTCTAGTATTTAAGCTCGATGGAAGCAATGAGAGTTCCATGAGGGCAGGGGGCTGTTCTTTTTCCTCCTACCACTATATATACAACATCCAGCATAAAGCCTGGCACTTAGTAAATACTCAATAAATATTTGTCGAGAATTGAATTCAATGAATAAGTGAATCCTAATTGTTAATGCCTCATTAACATAATATGATCTCTTGAATTAATTTGGAAATATTCTAGTACCTCTGAAAGAAGAAATGGCAATGAGCATTATTATTATTATTTGGGAGGAGTTTACAATTGATGAATCTACATTAACACTTCACTATCACCCATATTTTATAGTTTACATTAGGGTTCACTCTTGGTGTTGTATATTCTGTGGGTTTCGATGAATGTGTAAAATCCACCATTATAGTATCACACAGAGTATTTTCACTGCCCTAAAAGTCCTTTATGGTCCATCTATTCATCCCTCCCTCCCCCTAACTCCTGGCAACCAGTGATCCTTTTACTGTCTCCATAGTTTTGCCTTTTCCAGAATGTCATATAGTTGGAATCATATAGTATGTAGCTTTTAAGATTGACCTCTTTTACTTTAGTAATACACATGTAAGTTTCCTCCATGTCTTTTCATGCCTTAATAGCTCATTTCTTTCTTTTCAATACTGAAAAATATTCCATTGTTCTTTAAATCCTTAAGTTGAGAATGACTGTTTGAAACTACATTCCCTTATACTTAACTGTCTTTGATCATCTGAGATTTTACTTGCTGCTTTCTTTTCTTTAACTCTCTCTCACTTACTTGTGGTTGCATGGATAAGAAAAGATTACGGTACTCTTCCATTGTGAGTCAATTCAGTTTTCTTCCTCTTATTTATTTATTTTTGAGGCAGGGTCTCACTCTGTCACCCAGGCTGGAGTGTAGTGATACAATCTAGGCTCACTGCAACCTCTACCTCCTGAGTTCAAGCAACTCTCCTGCCTCAGCCACCCTAGTAGCTGGGATTACAGGCATGTGCTACCATGCCCAGCTAATTTTTTTGTATGTGTTTTTAGTAGAGACAGGGTTTCACCATGTTGGCCAAGCTGATCTTGAACTCCTGACCTCAAGTGATCCGCCCGCCTTGACCTCCCAAAGTGCTGGGATTACAGGCGTAAGCCACCGCACCAGCCCCTCTTACTTTTTGCCAGAAATATGATTAAATACCAAAATTGACCAATGAGTTGCATTTTATTTAATTTCCTTCACCATTAAGGATAATTTTATGAAAAGGCTAATTAACATTAAAACCAACTAATTTTCTCACAACCAGAAAGAAGTATATCAAAGACTCCTGGCTAATATTCAAACTGAAAATATTAGCTCTGCATACATAACTTAATTTACATTTCATGAATAAAATAAATGGCTTAATTTATATTCTATGAATAAAATAGATGTAATGAAATCTAACATATGAGTAGGGAGTATGTAAATTGACTTGTGCTTTTAAAAATAAATATGCTATAATGTATTTATTCTGATTTTAAAGCTTTATGTATAAATATTGGAAATAATGATTTTAATTGTTTTATAATCTAACTCAGGTTTAATAATATTCTTTATAAAATATTTTTCAGAGAAATATTTCAAAATTCCAAATTTAAAGCAATTGATGAGAGATGCAGGCAAAGACCATCAATGGCGAAGATTAAATCTCATTCTCAGTGTGTTTTTATTTCTCGAAATTTTCATACTGGGAGATTCCAATTACAGGTAGGGTGTAATATTTTATAGTAATCTTTTCAAATAATTTCTTTTGATACCATGTTATTAGCATTGCTGTCTTAAAATCTGAAGGACAGAGAATCCACTATTATTTTTTAATTTGAGGGACAAACTAGTTAGAGTTTATACTATAGGAAAACTGAAAAGCTAAATGAAAATATATCACCTTCTACAGTTGTATCTTCATATCTCTAGCCCAACAACCTGCATTCCACATATTGGGATTGCTATAGGGATAAAGATAAATGGCATAAGAAAAACTGAAAGCAAAATTACCAGGCTTGTCAAAGGAAAAAGATCTGGAGATAAGAGATACTCCAGATAGCCTAACCATAGCAATTGAAATTAAATTCACTTTGACAATGATGTACTAAGCCTTTACTATATTCCAAGCTCCTCTGGGCCCCTTTATTGAAGATAGTAAGATATGGCACCTACCTTCAAGGTATATGTGTAGTACAAGTGAGAAAGGCAGACACCTAATTAAATTTGTGTGATATGGTAAGCGTCAACACAATGCTAAATGAACAAAGGAAAAAAAGGCAGAGACTAAAACTACAATAGCTAAGCAAAACAGTGTTTGTTTTGTAGATAGATAAATAGTGACAAACTGATAGGTTGTCAGAGTTTCACTATATATCTTGAGTATTCAACTCAAGTTGTACTCGGTGTTCATTGATTTAACAAACATTTGCTGGCTGGCCATGGCAGCTCATGCCTGCAATCCCAGCACTTTGGGAAACCAAGGGCGGGAGGATTGCTTGAGCCCAGGAACTGGAAACCAGCCCAGGCAACACAGCGAAACCCTATCTCTATAAAAATTTTAAAAATAAAAAAGTAGTTGGATGTAGTGGCTCATGCCTGTAGTCCTAGTTGTTCAGGAGGCTGAGGCAGGAGGATCCTTTAAGTACAGGAGTTTGAAGTTGCAGTGAGCTATGACTGCGCTACTGCACTCCAGCCTAGGTGACAGCAAGACCCTGTCTCAAAAACAAACACATTTGTTGAGTACTTTATATACATCAGCACTAGTTTTGCCACTGAGGCTATATAAACAAATAAGATATGAGCCCAGCCCTAGATGAGCTCAAAATCAGTAGAGAAGAAAAATACATAAACTAAATAAGTACAACATCATATGATAAGAGCTCACAAAGTTGAAGAAGTGCAGACAAAAAAGGCTGAATTGAGGAGGGCTTCACAGAGAAGACATTTTGAACTGGGTTTTAAGAAATGAAGAGAAGTTTGTCGGGAAGAAAGAGAACAAAGGACATCTCATGTTCAAAGGCTTGTGGCTATGAAAGGAAGCAATATATTCAGTAAAAATGTTATAATGTTCGGAGCCTAGGATTCAGAAGACAGTGGTGGAAAAAGACGCTGGGGATGAGATTGCGATGAGCCTCATTTGCACCCTAAGGATTTTGAAGTTTACCCCTTAGGCCGCACAGAACCACTGAAGGATTATAGTAATATGGTCAAGAGCATTGTCTGTAGAGCCAGATTACAGATTTCAATTCTGACTGTACCACCAATAGCTGTATAATGTTAGGCAAGTTACTTAACTTCTCTGTGTCTCAGTTTCCTCATCTGCAAAATAAGGATAATTTCACCTCCGTAGAGTTGTTGTGGGATTAAAGGAATTATGTGAAAAAGCACTCAGAATAGTGCCTGATCCTGTAGTGAGCACCGTACAATTCTACTATTATTTTTACTGGAAGATTTTAAGCATGTGGATGTAAACATCAAATTGATTCTAAAGGTTATTTCCTCTGACTTTCGAATGAAGGACAGTTTGAAATAGAGATTGCATTGCAGAGAAAAATTGTTTCTATGTATGCATTTAATATTAATTTATTCAGTACCCATCACGTACTAGGCATTTTGCTAGGTACTAATGATATAATAATACCATCATACTTAACGATGTATAGACACTAATAGACAATTACAAAAGTGTCATGAGTGCAATTTTGATTAGGTTGTTTATTATTCATTCAACAAATATGTAAGAAGTGCTTATATGCCAGGCATTGTATTAGGTCACTGGGAATTTGGAGATGACCAAGGGAGATAATAGCCCCTGCTTTTATGAAATTTTTAGTGTAGTGGGAGAGAGAAATAATGCACAAGTAAACACAAAAGATAATTCAGGATTCTTTTATTTATTTTTTAATTGACAAAAATTGTATATATTTATCATGTACAACATGATGTTTTGAAATATGTGTACTTTGTGGAATGGCTAAATAATGTTAGTTAACACGTGTGTTATCTCACATACTTGTCATTTTTTGTGGTGAGAACGCTTAAAATCTACTCTCTTAGTGATTTTCAACAATACAATACATTGTTATTAACTATAATCACCGTGTTGTACAATAGATTCCTTGAATCTATTCCTCTTATCTAACTGAAATTTTGTATCCTTTGACCAACATCTCCTCTGTCACCCTGCCACCCCCAGCCCCTGGTATCCTGCCATCCCAGCCCACCATTCTACTGTCTGCTTCTACGAGTTCAACTTTTTTAGATTCCACATTTGAGTGAAATCATGGGTATTTGTCTTTCTGTGCCTGGTTTCTTTCACTTAATATAATGTCCTCCAGGTTCACCCTGGTTGTCACAAATGACAAAGTTTCCTTCTTTTTTAAGGCTGTTATTCAGGATCCTTGATATTCAGTGACAGGAACCTCATTCAAACTAGAATAAGAAAAAAAATAGTATAAAAAGTTTAAGGTAGTGCTAACCTCAGCCAATTTCAGTACAAAAGAACTCTTTTGTATTGTCCCTGTTTTTCTTATCTCAATTTCTGCCTCTGTATTGGCTTCTTCCTCTTCTACTACAGGCAGACCTCTATGGGGCAGGAGGATAAAATGATAATAAAAATAGGTTTAATATAATAAAAAACTAGAGAATGATTTCTAACAAAAACTTTTATTGTGAAATATGACATACATACAGAAGAATACATATACACATACACATGAAATTTAAATAATAAATGGATTTTTTATACTCACTACCCAGAATAAAAATAGAATGTTACCAGTACCTTTGAGATATTCTGAGTCTTATATATCTGTCACACCTCCAACTCCCACCCTCCACTAAAGGAACCACTATCCTGTAATTACAGCTAATCATTTCCTTACTTTTCCTTATAGTTTTGCCATAAATGTTATAGAATAATATATTATTAAATTTCATGTGTTTTAGACTCCATATCTAATCTTTCCTTTTTTGTGCAGTATTGCATTTCTGAAATTCCTCCAGTTGATGTATGTAGCCATAGTTCATTGCTTTTACTGTTATCTGGTATTCCATTGTGTGAAAATATCAAATTTTCTGTGGTTTACATTAAGTTTGGAGTGGTTTTCAGCTGTTTCTCTATGAAATCTTTATAGAGGCTATACCTAAGAGTAGAATTGCTGCATTATAGGGTAAGTGCATATTCAACCTTATTAAATAATTCCAAATTGTTTTCCAAAGTAGCTGTGTCAATATATGTTCCCCCAACATATATATAAGTGCACAGATTACTTCATATCTTCAACAATCTTGGCATTTTCAGGCTTCTAAATTTCTGACAACCTAATGGATGTGTAACAGTATCTATAGTCTTCCTACCTAATTTTCTTCAAGCCATTGTAGATTCATAGCAAAACTGAGCAGAAAGTACAGAGTCCCACTATATTCTTTCCCCCACACAGGCACAGCCTCCCCAACTATCCACATCCTACACCAGAGAGGTGCATATGCTACTATTGATGAACCCACATTGACACATAATAATCCAAAATTCATAGTTTACAATAATGTTCACTTTTGGTATTATGTAGTCTATGGGTTTTGACAAATGTGCAATCATGTCATTACAGTATCATACAGAATGGTTTCATTATCCTAAAAGTCCTCTGTGCTTCTCTGATTTATCCCTCCCTCTGCTCTAACCCCTGGCAACCCCTGATCCTTTTACTGTTTCCAAAGTTTTTGCCTTTTCCAGAATAGGCACATTTGTCATATAGTTGGAATCACACAATATGTAGTCTTTTCAGATTGGCTTCTTTCACTTAGCAATGTGCATTTAAGCTTTCTCCATGTATTTTCATGGCTCGATGGCCTGTCTTAGTCTGTTTTCTGTTGCTCATACCAGAATACCTGAAACTGGGTAATTTATTAAAAACGAAATGTATTTCTTACAGTCTGGAGTTCGGAAGTCTAAGGTCAAGGAGGGGCACATCTGGTGAAAGCCTTCTTTCTGGTAGGATTTCTGCAAAGTCCTGGGGTGGCATAGGGCATCACATGGTGAAGGGGCTGAGTGTGCTAGTTCAAGTCTCTTGTCTTCTTAGAAAGCCACTAGTCCCACTCCTGTGATAACCCATTAATCTATTAATCCATTAAGCCATTAATGGATTAATCTATTTATGACCCAATCACTTCTTAAAGGCCCCACCTTCTGAATACTGCCACATTGTGGATTAAGTGTGGATTAAGTTTCAACATGAGTTTTGGAGGGACAAATATTGAAACTATAGCCTAGCCTATTTCTTTTTAGCACGGAATAATGTTCCATTGTATACCATAGTTTATTTATCCATTCACCTATGGAAGGACATTTTGGTTTTTTCCAAGTTTTGGCAATTATGAATAAAGTTGCTATAAACATATGTGTGGAGGTTTTTGTATAAACATAAATTTTCAACTTATTTGCATGAATACCAGCGAACACAATTATGGGATCTTATGGTATGAGTGTGTGTAGTTTAATAAGAAAGTGCCAATTTTTCTTCCAAAGTATATCACTCTGCATTTCCACCCGCAATGCATGAGAGTTCCTGTTGTTCCCCATTCTCACCAGCATTTGTTGTTGTCAGTGTTTTGGAGTTTCACCATTCTAACAAATGTGTAGTGGTATCTCATTTTAATTTGCAATTCCCTAGTAACATGTGATGTTGAACACCTTTTCATGTGCTTATTTGCTATCTATCTTCTTCGATGAGGTGTCTGTTCGATCTTTCATTCATTTTTAATTAGGTTATTGATTTTCTTATTGCTGAGTTTTAAAGAATGTAAGTTTTAAAGAACTTATATATAACAAGTTTAAAATATATATTTTATACACACATGTATATATATACACACACACACACACACACATTATATATATATATAGAGAGAGAGAGCGAGCAATAATCCTTTATCAGATATGTACTTTGCAAATATTTTTTCCCAGCCCATGGCTTGTATCTCTTGGTATTTCACTGTAGTTTGTTTTTTTTTTTTTTTTTTTTGAGACAGTCTCGCACTGTTGCCCAGGCTGGAGTGCAGTGGCGTGATCTCGGCTTGCTGCAAGCTTCGCCTCCTGGGTTCACGCCATTCTCCTGCCTCAGCCTCCCAAGTTGCTGGGACTACAGGCGCCCGCCACCATGCCCGGCTAATTTTTGTATTTTTAGTGGAGACAGGGTTTCGCCATGTTGGCCAGCCTGGTCTTGAACTCCTGGCCTCAAGTGATCCGCCCACCTTGGCCTTCCAAAGTGCTGGGATTATAGGCGTGAGCCACTGTACCTGGCCTCTTTGCACTATTTTTAAGGTGTGTTTTTGTTGCAGGGCAGCCGCCTCAAAACTGGGGTTTAGCCTAGGAGAAAGCCAGGAAAGAATTCAAGGGCAAGCTGGTGGTGTTGGACAGCAATCTTTTGTTGAACATTACTGCTCTTTGCAGATCAGGGCTAATTCATAGGCAGCACATCCAGAGACAGCAACCTATGGGCTCTTATCAACTGTGATTATACTCAGTAAACCCACATTCAATTACATGCAAATTAAGGAGTGGATCAATGCAAATGGAGGAATGGATTACTTAGAACTTTCTAGGAAAGGGGCAGTAATATCTGAGTCATTGCCATGGAAAGTGGTCATAACTTCTGGGTCACTGCCATGACACTGGTGATAGTGTCTTGTATTAATGAGCAATGAAGGCAGCTAGGGATCACTTTTGTCACCATCTGCTGGTTCCTATGGGTTTCTTCACTTTATTCTGTCTGGACAAGATCCTGTTTTGGTCAGCAGGGTTGTGACCAGAAAACAAGTCCTGCTGGCTTCCTAACCTCATTCCCCACCTCAGAGATTACTCTTCCTTAATCTTAAAGGGTCTGTGGAAGGGCAGAGGCCCATCTTCTGTAACTGCTTCTTGCTCATTTTATGGGTATAGGCCCTGCCTAGCATTGGAGGAGTAAAAATCTCTGGATACCTTACCCAAAGGGCCCAACGGGAAGGTGTTTTTGTTTTCAGGGTCAAAAGATGGGATGCGGTTGGAAGCCTTGTGCCAGCATCATCTTCATGTGTAATCTAGAAAGTATAAACTTTACTAGAAGGTTAAACAAGAAAAGGAATTAGAAGGAAGAGAAAAATTAATGCTCCAATGCCCACCCACAGCATCACATTATCTATTTATGCATTTGTGAAATAATAGCTTTCAGTCTTTTAGGGGGTTATAAACATAAGTCTGGTATCCTCCTCTTAGGCTTGTGAGGACTTATAAGAAACAGGCTTAATCCTGGACATATATCCAGCTAGTGATTCCCTTGAAGTTTAATAGCAGTAGGGTTTTTAGTTTTAAGTTTTTAGTAACACTAAGTCTTCCAGGAGGAGGCAATACTTTATTTCTATATTCTTGAAGGGCCTTGTAAACCTATCCTAAATTATAAAGGGGGCATAGTGCTGGATTGTAGGAATGAGTCACCATGCCCAGCTGTAATTAACTTTATAGAAGCCTTGCACATCTTATTTTGTTACCAAGCAATGAGCATTCTGTCTGACATGCATAGAAACCAATACTATGGCACCAGCTTTTTAGAAAAGAAAAAGCTTCATTGTAAGGTCAACTGGGCAAGGAGTTAGAAGGCAATGCTCAAATATGTCACCCTGAGCTGGAGTCTGGGAGCAGATTTGAAAGACAGAGAGTAACTATGAAGGAGATAGAAAAATGTAACTAGGCATGATCTGATTGGGTCCCAAAGAGGAGGTGCCAGGTCATTGGGTTTTAAATTTGTACTTCAGCAAAACAGGAGCTAGGTGCGGTGGCTCATACTTGTAATCCCAGCACTTTGGGTTGCTGAGGTGGGTGGATTGCTTGAGCTCAGGAGTTCAAGACCAGCCTGGGCAGCATAGCGAGACCCCAGCTCTAAAAACAAAAAACAAAAACAGGGAACCCCCTCACTTCTTAATTGGGTCCCTGTTCCTCAACTCAAGTTACTTAGGTTCTGCACGTGGTTAATTTTTCCATTCTGGTCAGCTCTGGGTCACATATCAGGCATGATTGGTTCATCTGGACATGCTCAAGTGTGACTTGCAACCTGGGGGCCCACTGCAACTGAGAAACTCAGTATTTTGTTACAATTGCTACTGACAAAGTATAACCAGAGTGAACTGGTTCTATAATTACATTGTTAGTTTTTATTACTGGAATTTTTTTGAGACAGGGTCTTGCTCCGTTGCCCAGGCTGGAGTGCAGTGGCAAAATCATAGGTCACTGTAACCTTGAACTCCTGGACTCAAAGGATCCTCCTACCTCAGCCTCCTGAGTAGCTGGAACTACAGGTACACACCACCATGTCCACTTTAAAAAAAAAATTGTAGAGATAGAGTCTTGCTGTGTTGCCGAGGCTAATCTCGAACTCCTGGGCTCAAGTGAGCCTCCTGCCTCAGCCTCCCAATGTGCTTATTACAGGTATGAGCCACTGCACCCAACTCGTATTACTGAAAAATGTATATGTTTGTGCTTTTGTGAAATGATTTTAAGTAACCTTTTAATTTTAGAATAATCTATGATTTATAGAACAGTCATGAAGATAATATAAAATTTTCCTATACCCTTCACCCAGTTTTCCTCCAGTGCTAAAATCTTAAGTTACCATAGTATATTTGTCAAAACTAAGAAACCAACACTGGTACATTATTATTAACTAAACTCCAGATGTTATTTAGATTTCGCCAGTTTTTAAGTGAATGTACTTTTGCTATTTCAGGACCTAATCCAGGATCCTACATTGCATTTGTTTCTTTAATTTCCTCTGCTCTGTAACTGTATCTCCATCTTTCTTGTTTAACCTAACCTTTACAGTTTTGAGGAGTGCTGGTCATGTTTGTAAAATGTCCCTCAATTGGGGTTTGTTTATTTTTTTTTTCATTATTTATAACTTGGGTTATGTATTTTGGGGAAGAATACCACTGAAGTGAAATTAATGTGATTTAAAAAATATTTTATTGATACAATTTTTAAAATATTTTGAGATTAATTACCTACAATAGAATGCAAAGAATTTAGATATTCCACTTAATGAACATTGACAGCTGTATATACATTCAACCAACACCTAAAACAAACTACAGAACATTTTTATCACCTAAGAAAATTCTCTCATGTCTGCTTTCTAGTCAATTCCTCTACCCATCCCAGGTATCAGCTTTCTGATTTTTTGTCATTTTTTTTTTTGTGTGAGATGGAGTTTCGCTCTTGTCGCCCAAGCTGGAGTGCAATGATGCAATCTCAGCTCACTGCAACCTCCGCCTCCTGGGTTCAAGCGATTCTCCTGCCTCAGCCCCGGAATAGCTGGGACTACAGACGCATGCCACCAAGCCCAGCTAATTTTGTATTTTTAGTAGGACAGGGTTTCACCATGTTGGCCAGGCTAGTCTCGAGCTCCTGACCTCAGGTGATCCACCTGCCTTGGCCTTCCAAAGTGCTGGGGTTACAGGTGTGAGCCACTGCGCCCAGCAGCTTTCTGATTTCTGACAAGGTTTAGTTTTTATCTGTTCCTAAATTATATATAAATTAAATTATATCTTTTATGTCTGATTACTCTCACTTAATAAAAGTTTTGGGGCTCACCCATGTTATTGTGTGTGTTAGAACTTTGTTCTTTCTATTGATAAGTGGTAGTCCATTATAGGAACATTTTATGCATTCTCTTGTTGACGGATATTGGGTTGTTTTTAGTTTTTGACTACTATGAATAAGGCTACTCTAAACAACCACATACTTTTAGTGAACATATATTCTCATTTTTCTTTTCTTTGTTTTTTTTTTTTTTTTTTTTGAGATAGAGTCTCGCTCTGTCACCCAGGCTGGAATGCAATTGCGTGATCTCAGCTCACTGCAACCTGCACCTCCTGGGTTCAAGCGATTCTCCTGCCTCAGCCTCCCGAGTAGTTGGGACTATAGGCGCGTGCCACCACGCCCAGCTAACTTTTTGTATTTTTAGTAGAGATCAGGTTTCACCATGTTGACCAGGCTGGATTAGAACTTTTGACCTCCAGTGATCTACCCACCTTGGCCTCCCGAAGCACTGGGATTACAGGCGTGAGCCACCGCGCCCAGCCTGTATTTTCATTTTTCATGGGAAAGTACCTGAACCTGGAATTGTCAAGGCTTGGGGAGACATACATGTAAATTTATAAGAAACTGCTGAGCAGATTTCCAAAGTGATTGTAACTTATTTCACTCCCACCAGCAATAAGTGAGAGTTTCAATTTTCCATGGACTTGCCAACATATGGTGGTGTTATTAGTATTTTTAATTTTAGCTATTTTAGTGGGTGTAAAGCCAGGCACAGTGGCTCACTCCTGTAATCCCCGCACTTTGGGAGGCCAAGGTGGGCAGATCACCTGAGATCAGGAATTCAAGACCAGCCTGGCCAGTATGGCGAAATCCCATCTCTACTGAAAATAAAAAAAATTAGCCAGGTGTGGTGGTGCTTGCCTGTAATCCCAGCTTGTCAGGAGGCTGAGGCAGGATAATCGCTTGAAATTGGGAGGCAAAGGTTGCAGTGAGCAGAGATTGTGCCACTGCGCTCCAGCCTGGGTGACAGAGCAAGACTTTGTCTCCAAAAATTAAATTAAAATAAAATAAAATAAAATAGCTTTTAATTTATATTTCCCTGATGACTAAAGACGGTGAGCTTGTTGGCTAGCTGTATATATTTGTGTGTGTGACCTGCTTGTTTCAGTCTTTTACCCACTTTTTAAACTGGAAAGTTTGTTTGACTTTGTTTGCTTTTTTTGCTTTTTTTGTTTTGCTTTGTTTTGTTTTGTTTTGAGATGGAGTCTGGCGAGGTCACCCAGGCTTGAGTGCAGTGGCACAATCTTGGCTCACTGCAACATCTGCCTTCCTGGTTCAAGTGATTCTCCTGCCTCAGCCTCCTGAGTAGCTGGGATTACAGGCATGTACCACCATGCCTGGCTAATTTTTGTATTTTTAGTAGAGACAGGGTTTCACCATGTTGGCCAGGCTGGTCTCAAACTCCTGACCTCAGGCGATCCACCTGCCTCGGCCTCCCAAAGTGCTGGGATTACAGGCGAGAGCCACCGTGCCTGGCCACGCAGCTAAATTTTTAAATTTTTTGTAGAGATGGGGTCTCAAACTCCTGGCCTCAAGTGATCCTCCCTCCTTGGCCTCTCAGAGCACTGGGATTATGAGTGTGAGCCGCTGCACCCAGCCCATGCTACCCTTTATAATCACTCCCTCCCTCCCTTT
Source organism: Homo sapiens (assembly GCF_000001405.40). NCBI lineage: Eukaryota > Metazoa > Chordata > Mammalia > Primates > Hominidae > Homo > Homo sapiens. The sequence goes on from NC_000001.11 coordinate 51,129,342, forward strand.
CCCTAGCTCCTGGCAACCAGCGATCTGTTGCCCATCTCTACAATTTTATCATTTCCAGAATGTTATATAAATGGAGTCATGTAACATGTGGTCTTTTGACATTGGCTTTTCTTTTGAGATTGTGCAGTGGCACAATCATAGGTCACTGTAACCTTGAACTCATGGACTCAAGGGATCCTCCCACCTCAGCCTCCTGAGTAGCTAGGACTACAGACAATTGCCACCACACCCCGGGAGACCCAGTTTAATACCTGTCTTATTCATTTCAGGCTGCTATAACAAAAATAACATAGATTGGGTGGCTTAAACAACTTTTATTTCTCACAGTTTTGAAGGCTGAGAAGTCCAAGATCAAGATGCTGAAAGATCCGGTTCTGGTGAAGGCCCTCTTCCTGATTTGGAGATGGCCTTTTTCTTGCTGTGTTTTCAGATGGCAGGGAGCAGAGAGAGCAAGAGCGCACTTTCACATCTCTTCTTATAAAGGCACTAATTCCATTCATGAGAGTCCAAGTCCTCATGTCTTAATTACTTCCCAAAGGCTCCACCTCCTAATATCATCACATTGAGGGTTAAGATTTCAGTGTATGAATTTTGAGCTGACACATACATTCAGTCGATAATAATATCCATACAATCCCTCCAAGTTGCTGCATCAATAGTTTGTTCTTTTTCATGGCTGAGTAGTATAACATTGTGTGTTATACTAATGATTAAATCACAGAGTTTAATCATTTATGCATTGAGGGATATTTGAGATGTTTCCAGTTTGCAGCTTGCACATAAAGGGCCACAAACATTCATGTACAGGTTTTTCTGTAGAGATAAGTTTTCATTTCTCTAGAATAAATGCCCAGGAATGCAGTTTCTGGGTCATATATTTAATGCCCAGGAATGCAGCTTCTGGTAAGAGTATATTTAACTTTTAAGAAACTGTCAGACTTCATTCCAGAGTAACTGTACCATTTTACATTTCCAACAGTAATGTATGAGAGATCCAGTTTCTTTCTTTCTTTTTTTTTTTTTAAGAGACAAGGGCCTTGCTATGTTGCCCAGGCTGGACTCTTAACTCCTGGGCTCAAGTGATCCTCCCACCTCAGTCCCCTGAGTAGCTGAGACTACAGACATGTGCCACTACACTCCAAGAAATGCAGTTTCTAAGCATCCTTGCCGGCATTTGATACTATCTATATTGTTTATTTTAGCCATTTAAAACTATGTGTTTTCATATATGATATATGTGTCCAATTTCATTCACATGCAATGGATATCTCATTGTCCCAACATCATTTGTAGAAAAGTCTTTTTTTCCCATTCCATTGTCTCAGCACACTTATCAAAAATCAGTTGACTGTAAGTGTGAGCATTTATTTCTGGACTCTGAGTTCTATTTCATTGATGTATATGTCTCATACCAACACCATGCTGTCTTGATTATTGTAGCTTTGTAGTAAATTTTAATATCAGGAAGTATGAGCCTTCCAGTTTTGTTCTTTTTCAAGATTATTTTGACTATCATAGTTTTACATCTTACATTTCTATGTTTGGTCCATTTTTAGTTAATTTTTCTTTTTCTCTTTTGAGATGGAGTTTCACTCTTGTCGCCCAGGCTGGAGTGCAGCGGCGCTATCTTGGCTCACAGCAACCTCCACCTCCCAGGTTCAAGCAATTCTCCTGCCTCAGCCTCCCAAGTAGCTGGGATTACAGGCATGCACCACCATGCCTGGCTAATTTTGTATTTTTAGTAGAGATGGAGGTTTCTCCATGTTGGTCAGGCTGGTCTCAAACTCCTGACCTCAGGTGATCTGCCCACCTTGGCCTCCCAAAGTGCTGGGATTACAGGTGTAAGCCACTATGCCCAGCCGTTAATTGTTTTGTATAAGGTGTGAGGTTTAGGTCAAGGTTCATTTGTGGCAGTACGCATGTCTAATTGTTCCAGTATTATTTGTTGAAAAAGTAAACACAATGAATTGCTTTGCTTTGCATCTGTGAATTGCTTTTGCAATTCTTCTCCTGTCTATGGCAGTTCCTCTTCCTCCTCCTTTCTCCATTTTAGTCAGTGGTAAGAGCTACTGTAGATGTCTTCTCTCTTATTAAGAGTTTGTCACTTTCTGGAGTTTCGTTTTTTGTTTTATTTTTAAAAGATGATTATTGGCTGGGCTTGGTGGCTCACACCTATAATCCTAGCAGTGTGAGAAGCTGAGGTGGGAAAATCATTTGAGCCCAGGAGTTTGAGACCAGCCTGGGCAACAAAGCAAGACATCATCTCTAGCAAAAAGAAAGAGAGAGAGAGAGAGAAAGGAAGAAAAAAAATTTAAAAAGATAGTTAAGCTTATCCATATTGCTTGTGTCATTAGAGTAAGAGCAATGGTCTTTTACAACTTTCTACATTTAAACCTAAAATAAGCAATGATTGGCCATGGATTGCTGGCCAGTAGAAATAGTCGTTTTCTGGCTAGTACATAGAAATGATCCCACTGCTGCCACACTACTAAATGCTTTGGCTGACACCACCCATTAGAGTGTAGTGACCAGTGGTCCAAGAGCACCTCGGCGCCCCCAGCAAAGTGAATTCCCAACCTTGAGCCAGAGAACAAAGTCAGGGCCCAGTGCAAGTACCTTAGAGTTAGAGCACACAGTCTAGGAATTGGGAGCTGAGGATTGGCTGCCTAAAATATTCTAGAAATGAAGCCAGTTGGCTGAATCCACCTTATACCAAAATAAAACCCTCAAGGTCATAAAATAGGTGAAAAGGAAAAAGAAAACATCCAAAGGTCAGCAACCTCAGAGATTGATGGTAGATAAACCCACAGTGCAAAAACCCTGACAATTCAAAAAGCCAGAGAGCCTTCTTTCCTCCAAATGACCATCAGCTCTCCAGCAAAGGTTCTGAACCAGGCTGAGATGGCTGAAATGACAGAAATAGAATTCAGAATATGAATACTAATGAAGATTACTGAGCTCCAGAAGTGCATTGAAACCCAGTGCAAGAAGCTAAAAATCATGATAAAACGATGCAGGAGCTGACAGACAAAATAGTCAGTATAGAAAAGAACCTCACAAACCTGATAGAGCTGAAAAACACACTACATGAATTTCATAATGCAATCACAAGTATTAATAGCAGAATAGACTAAGCAGAGGAAAGAAACTCAGAGCTTGAAGATGGGCTTTCTGAAATTAGATAGTCAAACAAGAATAGAGAAAAAAGAATGAAAAAGAATGAATAAAACTTCTGAGAAATATGGGATAATGTAAAGAGACCCAATTTATGACTCATTGGTATCCCTGAAAGAGATGGGGAGAATGGAACCAATGTGGAAAACATATTTCAGGATACCATCCATCTCTTTCAGGGGACTACAGAGAACTCCAGTAAGATACTTCACAAGAATATTATCCCCGAGACACACATAATCATTGGATTCTCCAAGGTCAAAATGAAAGAAAAAATGTTAAAGCCAGCTAGAGAGAAAAGTCAGGCCACCTACAAAGGAAAGCCCATCAGACTAACTGCAGACCTCTCAAAAGAAACCCTACAAGCCAGAAGAGATTGGGGGCCAATATTCAATGTTCTTAAAGATAAGAAATTCCAACCCAGAATTTCATATCTGGCCAAATTAACCTTCATAAACAAAGGAGAAATAAGATCCTTTTCAGACAAGCAAATTCTGAGAGAATTCATTACCACCAGATCTGCCTTACAAGAGCTCCTGGAGGAAGCACTAAATATGGAAAGGAAAGACCCTTACCAGCCACTACAAAAACACTGAAGTATACGGACCAGTGACACTATAAAGCAACCACGTAAGCAAGTCTGCAAAATAACCAGCTAACATAATGATGACAGGATCAAATCCACACATATCAATATTAACCTTGAATGCAACTGGGCTAAATGCCTTAATTAGAAGACACAGTAGCAAGCTGGAAAAAGAAGCAAGACCCATTGATATGCTGTCTTCAAGAGACCTATCTCACATGCAACAATACACAGGCTCAAAATAAAGGAATGATGAAAAATCTACCAAGCAAATGGAAAATAGAAAAAGCAGGAGTTGCAATCATAGTTTCAGACAAAACAGACTTCAAACCAGCAAAGATTTTAAAAAGACAAAGAAAGGCATTACATAATAGTAAAGAGTTCAATTTAAGAAGAAGATCTAACTATTCTAAATATCTATGCACCCAACACAGGAGCACCCAGATTCATAAAGCAAGTTCTTAGAGACCTTCAAAGAGACTTAGACTCCTACACAATAGTAGTGGGAGAGTTTTACACCCCACTGACAATATTAGACAGATCAATGGGACAGAAAATTAACAAAGATATTCAGGACCTGAACTCAGCACTGAATCAAATGGGCCTGATAGACATCTGCAGAACTCTTCACCCAAAAAGAACAGAATATACATTCTTCTCATTGCCACATGGCACATACTCTAAAATCGATTACATAATCAGAAGTAAAACACTCTGGCTGGGCACAGTTGCTCATGCCTGTAATCCTAGCACTTTGGGAGGCCAAAGCAGACAGTTTGAGACCAGCCTGGCCAACAGGGTGAAACCCTGTCTCTATTAAAAATACAAAAATTAGCCAGGCATGGTGGCATGTGCCTGTAATCCCAGCTACTCAGGAGGCTGAGGCAGGAGAATTACTTGAACCTGGGAGGCAGAGGTTGCAGTGAGCTGACATGGCACCACTGCACTCCACTCTGGATGACAGAGCAAGACTCTGTCAAAAAAAAAAGTAGAACACTCCTCAGCAAATGCAAAAGAACAGAAATCATAACAATCTATCTCTCAGACCAAAACACAATCAAATTAGAAACGAAGACTAAGAAATTCACTCAAAACCATATAATTACATGGAAATTAAATATACTGCTCCTGAATGTCTTTTGGGTAAACAATGAAATTAAGGCAGAAATCAAGAAGTTCTTTGAAACTAATGAGAACAAAGGTGCAAAATACCAGAATTTCTGGGACATAGCTAAGGCAGTATTAAAAGAGAAACATATAGCACTAAATGCCCACATCAACAAGTTAGAAAGATCTCAAGTTAACAACCTAACATCAAACTAAAAGAACTGGAGAACCAAGAGCAAACAAATCCCAAAGCTAGCAGAAGACAAGAAAGAACCAAAATCAGAGCTGAACTGAAGGAGAATGAGACACACACAAAAAAAAAACATTCAAAAGATCAATGAATCCAGGAGCTGGTTTTCTGAAAAAATAAAATAAAATAAAATAAAATAGACCACTAGCTAGACTAACATAGAGGAAAAGAGACTGTTCAAATAAACACAATCAGAAATGACAAGGGGGATATTACCAGTGACCCATAGAAATACAAATAACCATCAGAGAATATTATGGACACCTCTGTGCACATAAACTAGAAAATCTAAAAGAAATGGATAAATTCCTGGACACATACTTCCTAACACTGAACCAGGAAGAAATTTAATCACTGAACAGACCAATAATAAGTTGTGAAATTCAGTCAGTGGTAAATAGCCTATCAACCAGAAAAAGCCCAGGACCAGATGGACTCATAGCTGAACTCTACCAGATGTGCAAAGAAGAGCTAGTACCATTCCTGCTGAAACTATTCAAAAAAATTAAGGAGGAGGGACTCCTCCCTGACTCATTCTATGAGGCCAGCATCATCCTGATACCAAAACCTGGCAGAGACACAAAACAAAAAGAAAACTTCAGGCCTATATCTTTGAAGAACATTGATGCAACAATCCTCAACAAAATACTGGCAAACCAAATCCAGCAGCACATGAGAAAGCTTATTCACCATGATCAAGTAGGCTTTATTCCTGGGATGCAAGGTTGGTTCAACATACACAAATCAATAAATGTGATTCATCATATAAACAGAACTAAAGACAAAAACCACATGATTGGACTGGGCACAGTGGCTCATGCCTGTAATCTCAACACTTTGGGAGGCCAAGGCGGGCAGATCACCTGAGGTTGGGAGTTCAAGACCAGCCTGACCAACATGGAGAAACCCCATCTCTACTAAAAATACAAAATTAGCCGGGCGTGGTGGCACATGCCTGTAGTCCCAGCTACTCGGGAGGCTGAGGCAGGAGAATCACTTGAACCCGGAAGGCGGAGGTTGCAGTGAGCCGAGATCACACCATTGCACTCCAGCCTGGGCAACAAGAGTGAAACTCTGTCAAAAACAAAACAAAACAGAACATGATTATTTCAATAGATGCCGAAAAGCCTTTCAATAAAATTTAACACAACTTCATGTTAAGAATTCTTAATAAACTAGGTATTGAAGGAACATACTTCAAAATAATAAGAGCCATCTATGACAAACCCATACCCAACATCATACTGAATGGGCAGAAGCTGGAAGCATTGCCCTTGAAAACAGGCACAAGACGAGAATGCCCTCTCTCACCACTCCTATTCAACATAGTACAGGAAGTCCTGGCTAGGGCAATCAGGCAAGAAAAAGAAATAAAGAGCATCCAAATAGGAAGAGAGGAAGTCAAACTATCCCTGTGTGCAGATGACATGCTCCACTATCTAGAAAACCCCATTGTCTCAGCCCAAAAGCTCCTTAAGCTGATAAACAACTTTGGCAAAGTCTCAGGATACAAACTCAATGTGCAAAAATTACTAACGTTCCTATACACCAACAACAGTCAAGTTGAGAACCAAATCATGAATGCAATCCCATTCACAATTGCCACAAAAAATATAAAATACCTAGGAATGCAGCTAATCAGGGAGTTGAAATAACTCTATAAGAAGAACTACAAAACACTGCTCAAAGAAATCAGAGATGACACAAGCAAATGGAAAAACCTTCCATGCTCATGGATAGGAAGAATCAATATTGTTTAAATGGCCATACTGCCCAAAACAATTTATAGATTCAATGCTATTCCTATTAAACTATTATTGACATTCTTCATAGAACTAGAAAAAAAATCATTTTATTTTATTATTTCTATTTTGATCTTGATTTTTTTTTTTTTTGAGATGGAGTCTTGCTCTGTCACCCAGGCTGGAGTGCAGTGGTGTGATCTCAGCTCACTGAAACAAAAAAGAGCCTGAGTAGCCAAGGAAATCCTAAGCAAAAAGAACAAAGCTGGCGGCATCACACTGCTGCACTTCAAACTGTGCTATAGAGTTACAGTAGCCAAAACAGCTACTGTTTTGTACTGGTACAAAAACAGACGCATAGATCAACGGAACAGAATACAGAACCCAGAAATAAGGCCACACACCTACAATGATCTGATCTTTGGCAAACCTGACAAAAACAAGCAATGGGGGAAGAATTCCCTATTCAGTAAATGGTGTTGGGATAACTGGCTAACCATATGCAGAAGACTGAAACTGGACCCCTTCCTTATATCATGTACAAAAATTAACTCAAGACGGATTAAAGACTTAAATGTAAATAAAACCCAAATGTATAAAAACCCTGGAAGACCACCTAGGCAATACCATTCTGGACATAGAAATGGGCAAAGATTTCATGATGAAGACACCAATAGCAATTGCAACAAAAGCAAAAATTGACAAATGGGATCTAATTTAACTAAAGAGCTTCTGCACAGCAAAAGAAATTATCAACAGAGTAAACAAAAAACCTACAAATGGGAGAAAATTTTTGCAAACCATGCATCTGACAAAGGTCTAATATCCAGCATCTGTCAGGAACTTCAACAAATTTACAAGAAAAAAACAAGCAGCCCCATTAAAAAGTGAGGAAAGGACATGAACAGACACTTTTCAAAAGAAGACATGCATGTGGCCATGAATCATATGAAAAAAAAGTTCAATATCACTGATCATGAGAGAAATGCAAATCAAAACCACAATGAGATACCATCTCACCAGTCAGAATGGCTGTTACTAAAAAATCAAAGCTAGACATGGTGGCTCATACCTGTAATCCCAGCACTTTGGGAGGCTGAGGCAGGTGGATCACTTGAGATCAGGAGTTAGAGACCAGTCTGGCCAACATGACAAAACCCCATCTCCACTAAAAAATACAAAAATTAGCTGGGTGTGGTGGTGCACACCTGTAATTCCAGCTACTTGGGAGGCTGAGGCAGGACAATCACTTGAACCCAAGAGGCAGTGGTTGCAGTGAGCTGAGATCATGCCACTGCACTCCAGCCTGGGTGACAGAGACTCTGTCTCAAAAAAAAATAAAAAATAAAAAATAACATGCTGGTGAGGCTGCAGAGAAAAAGGAACTCTTACACACTGTTATGGGAGTGTAAATTAGTTGAATCATTGTGGAAGACAGTGTGGCAATTCCTCAAAGGCTTAAAAACAGAAATACCATTTGACCCCACAATCCCATTACTGGATATTACCCAAAGGAATATAAATTGTTAGATTATAAAGACACATGCATGTGTATGTTCACTGCAGCATTATTCACAATGGCAAAGACATGGAATCGACCTAAATGCCCATCAGTGGTAGACTGGATAAAGAAGATATGGTACATATACATTATGGAATACTATGCAGCCATAAAAAAGAATGAGATCATACCCATTGCAGGAACGTGGATGGAACTCAAGGCCATTATCTTTAGCAAACTAACACAGGAACAGAAAACCAAATACTGCATGTTCTCATTTATATGGGAGAGCCAAATGTTGAAAACACATGGACACATAGAGGGGAACAACACACACTGGGGCCTATAAGAAGGTGGAGGGTGAGAGAAGGGAGAGAATCAGGACAAAATAACTAATGGGTACTAGGCTTAATACCTGGGTGATGAAATAATCTGTACAACAAACTCCCAAGACACAGGTTTACCTGTGTAACAAACCTGCACATGTACTCCTGAACCTACAAGTTAAAAATATATATATATTTAAATTAAAAAGAAATCTTATTTATGTTTGTACATTACTTATTTTTATTTTTAAAATTGTGATAAAATACACATAACAAAATTTACTATTTTAACCATTTTGAAGTGTACAATTCAATAGCATTAAATGTATTCACGTTGTGCAACCATCACCACCATTCATCTTCAGAATTTGTTTGTTTGTTTTGAGACAGAGTCTTGCTCTGTTGCCCAGGCTGGAGTGCAGTGGCACAATCTCGGCTCACTGCAAGCTCTGCCTCCCGGGTTCACGCCATTCTCCTGCCTCAGCCTCCTGAGTAGCTGGGACTACAGGCGCCCGTCACCATGCCCAGCTAATTTTTTGTATTGTTAGCAGAGACGGGCTTTCACCGTGTTAACTAGGATGGTCTCAATCTCCTGACTTCATGATCCACCTGCCTTCACCTCCCAAAGTGCTGGTATTACAGGCGTGAGCCACCGTGCTGGCCCAGAATTTTTTTTTTAAGACAGAGTCTTGCTCTATCGCCCAGGCTGTAGTGCAGTGGTGCAATCTCAGCTCACTGCAACCTCCGCCTCCCAGGTTCAAACAAGTCTCCTGCCCCAGCCTCCCAACCAGCTGGGATTACAGGTGTGCGCCCCTATGCCCAGCTAATTTTTGTATTTTTAGCAGAGGTGGGGTTTCACCATGTTGACCAGGCTGATCTTGAACTCCTGACCTCAAGTGGTCCGCCTGTTTCAACCTCCCAAAATGCTGGGATTACAGGCATGATCCACTGTGCCCAGGCCATGATGTCTTTTCTTTTACATATGGATGATTTGATTTGCTAATATTTTACTTACATTTTTTACATGTCTGTAAATGAATGAAATCAGCCTCAAATTTCCTTTCTTTTTTTTTTCTTTTTCTTTTTTTCCCAGAGACAGAGTCTCACTCTTGCCAACCAGGTTACAGTGGAATGGTGTGATTATAGCTCACTATAACCTCAAACTCCTGGGCTCAAGCAATACTCCCACCTCAGCCTCCCGAATAGCTGGGATTACAGGTGCTCGCCACCACACCCGGCTAATTTTTGTATTTTTAGTAGAGACGGGCTTTCACCATGTTGGCCAAGCTGGTCTCAAACTCCTGACCTCAGATGACCCTCCCACCTTGGCCTCCCCAAAGCACTGGAATTACAGACATGAGTTACTGCACCTGTCCAAATTTTCTTTCCTATACTGTGCTGTCAGACCTTTGTATCAAGGTTATGCTAGGTTCATAAAATGAAAATGATTGGGGAGGGTTTCTTCTTTTTCTGTACTCTGAATAGTTTGTAAAAGAGTAAAACTATTTGTTTTTTGAATGTCTGTTAGGCTCAAATAGTCTTGGATTTAAACTGCCTTTGTAGGAAAATATTTAACTATTAAATCTATTACTTCACAGTGTTGTGTGACAAGGATAATTATTTATATGAAATACAATATAAATGGTGCCCCCTAGAGTTGCTATTGTCTTAGATTTTCATTCTTTCATTTTTTAAAACTTGTACGAACCATTATCATCGTTTTTGTATTTTTCTCAGTAACACTTCAGTAACACACAAACTCAAAATCTTAGTGCTTTATAACAACAAAGGTTTATTTCTCACATTACATATCATCTGTGGGTCAGCATTGGCTCTACTTGGCATGTTCTTTTCATTCTGGTATCCAAGCTGAAGGGAAAGTCTCTATAGAACATCCTATCCTTGTGACAGAAGAGAGATGTGGAACCACAGTGTTGGCCCTTAAAGCTTCTATCTAGAAGTGGTCACTTCTGCTCATATTTTATTGGCCAAAGCAAATTTCTTAGTCAAGCTTGATGTCAGTGATACAAAAAAAGTATAATTAGCTCACTGAGAATGGCAAATAATTAGGAACAGTAATGCGCTCTACTACATACAGGTACCATACAGTCAGTGTTTACTTAGATTTACCAACAAATTGATCACTTTCGTTGTCTCACGCCTCAAACACCAAACTGTTATTCTGGTATGACTTTTCTGTTTGTGCAAATTACATCCTTCAGAATTTATTTTAATGGGTATCTTTTGGTTCTAAACTCACTTAGGTTTTGGTCATCTGAAAATGACATTTTTTATTCTCTTTCTTTCAATGGATTCTAGGTTGACACTTCTTTTCTTTTAGTAGAGGGAAAATATGCCTTCTGGTTTTCATAGTTGCCACTGAAATAATACTAGCAGTCTAATCATAGTTCGTTTTTGTTCAGTTTTTCTAATGTGTATCTTAGGTTTAGATTGCTTTATGTTTAATGTTGGTTGTGATTTGTTTGGCTCTATGAATCTGTGGATTTTTGCCTTTTTCATTTGTGTAGAATTGGTATCGTTTATTCCCCACATGGTTGGTATAATTCAGTAGTCATCTAGAGTGTCCTTTGTGGAAAAGTTTTTAGCTATGAATGCAAATTCTTTGGTAGACATAGGGCTATTCATGTTACCTATTTCTCCTAGAATGAGTTTCAGTTATTTGTGCCTTTCAAGGGATTTTCCACTTCATCTAAGTTGTCTAATTTATTGGCATAAAGTTGTTCATGATATTCCCTTATTACTTATTTAATGTATCTGATATCTATAGTGATATTCTCTTGCTCACTTCTGATATTTATTTGTTTTCTCTTCCTTTTTCACCCTAATTGTTCTGGCTAGAGTTTTATCAATTTTATTAATATTTTCAAAGAACTGTATACTTGTTTTATTGACTTTCTTTGTTGTTTTCTATTTTATTGATTTCTGCTCTAGTTGCATTATTTCTGAGCTCAGACTTTTGATAGGTTAGCTCCACCCAATTCAAAGGAATCAGTGATCAGACTCACCCAAAGTAAATTATTGTATCTCAGTAAGGAGAAGTGAAGAGAACAAAAATATTTCAAGGAAATAAATTTTCCTCTAGGAAACTAGAGAAACGAGAACTCTACTGAAGTTTTGCTATGTTGAACAGGTGTGTACAGTGATATTAAGAAGAGATAAGGCCAGGGATGGTGGCTTATGTCTATAACCCTCGTACTTTGGGAGGCCAAGACAGCAGGATCACTTGAGCCCAAGAGTTAAAGACTAGCCTTGGCAACACAGACAGACCCTGTCTCTACACCTCCAAAAAAAAATTAGCTGAGTGTGGAGGCACATGCCTCTGGTTCCAGCCACTTGGGAGGCTGAGGTGGGAGGATCAGCTTAAGCCCAGGAGGTTGAGGCTGCCATGAGCCCGTGATTGCACCACTGCATTCCAGCCTGGATGAGAGGGTGAAACCCCATCTTAAAAAAAAGAAAAAAATCAAGTACTTATAATTAGCCCTGAGGTACTCCAAACTTTAGAGGTTTAGCACTAGTCAGTGTGGTAGAAAGAGAACCAAGAGGTGTCCCAAAAGCCTAGTGAAGAAGGTGTTTAAGAGGTGGGAGTTATGAACTGTGTCAAATGTGTGTATGGGTGTGTATTTTTATTGTTTCTGAACCACTTAAAAGTAGAATGCATATTCTTTTCCTTCACTCCTTAATACTTCAGTGTACATACTAAGAATGAAGATACTCTCTCATATTATTATAGCTTAGTTTTCAAATTAGGGAAATTTAATATTGATTCAAATACTCTCATATATATATAATTTTTTTTCTGTTGAGATGGAGTATCGCTCTGTTGCCCAGGCTGGAGTGCAGTGGCACCATCTTGGTTCACTGCAACCTCCGCAACCATGCCCAGCTAATTTTTGTATTTTTAGTAGAGACAGGGTTTCACCATGTTGGCCAGTCTGGTCTCAAACTCCAGACCTCAAGTGATCTGCCTGTCTCAGCCTCCCAAAGTGCAAGTGCTGGGATTACAGGTGTGAGCCACAGCACCCAGCCCAAATACTCGCTTATATTTTTAGAGCTTAGTTTTCAAATTGGGGAAATTTAATATTGATTCAATGTTTTCATATAATCTAAAATCCATATTCCATTTTTGTCTATTATCCCAATCATGTCCTTTACAGAATTGTTTCCCTTTAGTACAGGATCCAGCCTAGAATCACATTTGCATTTAGTTGTCATGTCTCTTCAGTCTTCCTTATTTAGGGACAATTCCTCAGCTTTTCTTCATCTTTCATGACATTGGCATTTTTGAAAGTCCACGACAGTTATTTTATACATAATAGGTGGCTCCTCAATTTGGCTTTTCCTCATGATCACATTTAATTTATCACATCTGAAGGCATACAGTGTTTATCTGTGGATTTTTGCCTTTTTCAATTGCATATAGAATTGGTGTAAATTATTCACCAAATGGTTGGTATAATTCACTAGTGAAGTCATCTAGAGTTTCCAATGTGGAGAAGTTTTTAGCTATGAATTCAATTTCTCTGGTAGACATAGGGCTATTCATGTTACTATCTCTCCTTGAATGAGTTTTGGTAATTTGTGCCTTTCAAGGGATTTTCCACATCAACTAAGTTGTCTAATTTATTAGTATAAAGTTGTTCATGATATTCCTTTATTATTTATTTAATGTATCTGGTATCTGTAGTGATATTCTCTTGTTCACTCCTGCTATTATTTTTTGGTTTTGTTTTTTGATTTTTATTTATAGGCAGAGTCACTCTGTGGCCCAGGCTAGAGTGGCATGGTGCAATCTTGGCTCACTGCAACCTCCACCTCCCAGATTCTCATGCCTCAGCCTCCCAAGTAGCTGGGATTACAGGCATGCACCATCATGCCTGGCTAATTTTTGTATTTTTAGTAGAGATGTGGCTTCACCATGTTGGCCAGGCTGTTCTCAAACTCCTGGCCTCAGGGGATCCACCTGCCTCAGCCTCCCAAAGTACTAGGATTACAGATGTGAGCCACCGTGCCCAGCCTCACTCCTGAGTATTATTAATTAGAGATTTTAGATTGATCGCACAATCAAGATGTTTGTTTTTTGTTTTTGCCACACTGTATTATTTCTATTTTTTACCCTTGCGATTAATAAACGACCTGTGTGAAGACACTTTGAAACCATACGAATATCCTTCTTTTTATCAGACTTTACTCTCTAGCTATACAAATTACTTGCGCCTGAGTAAATCTTAACTAAACTGTAGCAAAATGGTGATTTTCCAACTCTGCCATTCCCATCCACAATTGTCATTTAGCTTTCTATGAATGTAAGGAAGCAGCTGTCCCTTCTCTGTTATTTTATTACCACTACGGATTCGTGGATTTCTATTTCATTCAGCAGATTATAATCCATTACTACCATTATTTAGATGCCCAAATTTTCCCAAATTTAGTTAGTAGGTACTGCTTCAAGATTGTTCTTCTGTCTTTTTGATATGTTCCCATCATTTTTTGAATTATTCCATAATTACTGATATGTAGCATCATTTTTAACAGTTGAAAGAATATGCATTGTATTAATATCTATGTATCATAATGCATTTAACTATTTCCTTACTCGGGATTTTATAAAAATTAATTGATTAATTAATTATTTTGAGACAAGGTCTTGCTTTGTCACCCAGTCTGGAATGCAGTGGCTTGATGCGGCTCACTGCACGCATGACTTTCTGGGCTCAGGATATCCTTGCGCCTCAACCCCCAGAGTAGCTGGCTCTACAGGCATGCGCCATCATGCCCAGCTAATTTTTGTATTTTTTGTAGAGATGGGGTTTTATTATGTTGCCCAGGCTGGTCTCTAACTCCTGGGCGTGAGCCACTGCACCCAGCCATAAGCTTGGAGTTTCAAATTGCGGGTTTTAAAAAACAATGTTGGGTGAATATCCTGGTAGCTGAATGTTTATACAAAACCGAAATTATTTACTTGGCATAATAAATTTCTAGAAGTGGGTTTATTAAGTTTCACTAGAAAAAATTCTACCTGTGTACATGTAGCAGTATATAAGAATGCCCATTCGGCATTCCCTTATTTTGGGTAGAATTTTAATCAGTCTAGGGCCTTAATCTTTGGTTCCCAGACCAGCAATATCAACATTACCTAGGCGAGCCTATTAGAAATGCAGACTCTTATACCCCATTCCAGACCTTCCGAGTCAGAATCTGCATTTTAACAAGCTCCCAGGGTAATCTGTCAGCACATCAAAGTCTGAGAAGCAATATTCTAAAGTAATTTATACAGGAGTCACAGAATGAATTGGTCTTAAATCTAGCCAAGGTAAGGCCAGGAAGCCCATACTGGCATTTGTTAATAAAAGGTGAAAGTGACAAAGAATTAAAGTTGGCTTTGTAAAAAGTGCTGGTTGGGTGCCTGTAATCCCAGCACTTTGGGAGGCTACGGTGGGAGGATCACTTGAGCCCAGGAGTTTGAGACCAGCCTTGGGAACAAAGTGAGACCCCATCTGTACAAAACATTTAAAAAATTAACCAGGCATGGTGGCATGCACCTGTTGTTCCAGCTACTCAGGAGGCTGAGGCAGGAGGATCACTTGGGCCCCAGAAGTTGAGGCTGCAGTGAGCTGTGATCATGCCACTGCACCCCATCCTGGGTGACAGAATGAGACCCTGTCTCAGAAAAAAAGGGAGTTATTCTAACAAAATGAATAAAAGTATCCTAAATAAGCTTTTTTGGGAGACAGGCAAATGCAGATCAGCACAGAGCACTGACACATTTTCTCCCAGAACATAAGACGTGATACTATTATCTCTCCAGCTTCATCATCACTCACTCCATCCCAAACGCTCTATGCTTTTGCCTATTGTTTATCTAGTGATCTAAGAAAAACCTGAATTTGAATCACTTGCAGAATGTGTTACAGTGTATACTCCCAAGCCCACTTCTAGAGAATCTGTTTCAGTAGGGTCTGATATTATAACCAAGAATCAGAATTTTAACATGCACATCCGGTAATTCTAATCCCCTAAAGTTTGAGAACTACTACAACACTATACTTCCCAGAACATATCTGGAATGTATTGTTTAAGCAATGCTTTATTTGCTATAAAAAAATATTCCCAAGCCAGGTATGGTGGCGCACACCTGCAGTCCAGCTACTCAGGAGGCTGAGACAGGAAGATCGCTTGAGCCCAGGAGTTCAAGGCTGCAGTGAGCTATGATCATGCCACTGCACTCCAGACTGGGTGACAGAGCAAGACCCTGTCTCTAAAATAATAATAATAATAATAATAATAATCCCATTTTTATAAAGACCTTCAACCAGAATTCACTTTTTTGTTATTTTTGCTGTTAGTTCATTAAACAAGTCTAGGAATTCTAATTATTTTTTAGCATTCTCTAGTTCTGACCAAGTTGCTGAGGATGGAGAGAATGAATCCTATTTGAACTGTTATTCCTTATTCTGGAGACTGCCTTTTTGGACCAATCCAAATTCATTTCAGATGATACTTCAACTTTTTCTTTTCTGTCAATATATTTTGGTGAAAGAAATTCATACTGTGGAAAGAAACATTTTCCATTAAAAAATTATAATGTTAAACTGTATTACTCTCATATAAAATATATGAAAGAAGTTATATAAAAATTATTCTGATTTTAAAACACAAATAACTTTTTTTAATGTAGGAGGAGCAAAGAAAAAAGGAAGCAGCACATATAAAAGGTATTTTTTCTCAATAATTTATTAGAAGAAATCTTAATGAACTTTAGCAATTCACATCTTGAGAAATCAAGAGGCTATCCTAAATGTCATCTAAATATCTTAATGGTATGAAACTGTAAGGGAAACATTAATTTATTAGTATGTAAAAGGGCATAAATTTTTTAGAAAAAACAAAACTTGCAATATCGTATCTTAAACTAAAATGTGAAGTTTTAATTTTTATCTCTTATTTGTACTCAAAGGTATCATAGTCAATGTCATATAGTAATGCTTGAGGATAAAAAGATGTTGCATATTACATCTTAGTACCTCAAAACATTACCTCTTACATAATTTTAGAGATGCTGAATATAAAATATAACAAGATATTTTGCAGAGCTTTAAAAATGTAGAAAATACAAAAGTTAATATGTTTAGACCAGGCGTGGTGTCTCATGCCTATAATCCCAGCACTTTGGGAGGTCGCGGTGGGCAGATCACTTGAGGCCAGGAGTTCAAGACCAGCCTGGCCAATATGGTGAAACCCTGTCTCTACTAAAAATATAAAAATTAGCTGGATGTGGTGGCGCAGGCCTGTAATCCCAGCTACTTGGGAGGCTGGGGCAAGAGAATCTCTTGAACCCAGGAGGCGGAGGTTGCAGTGAGTCGAGACTGCACCAATACACTCCAGCCTGGGTGACAGAGCAAGACTGTCTCAAAAAAAAAAAAAAAAGTTAGTATGTTTGCAAGAATGGCCTTATACATAAATTTTTTAAAAAGAAAAGTTAATATGTAAAATGTTATAAAAGGTATTATAGAATATTGTATAGATATTATATTTTCTAAAACAGCATATTTTAATGGCAAATGTGCAGCCTAAATACTATAATGGGAAAAGCATGAGACAAACTAATGAAAATCTAGGTGGCTAAAATCTATTTTGTATCTGATCTGTAATGGGTCATTTATCTAAGTCTGTTTATTATTTTCGTGAAGTGGTGCTAATAGTAACTACCTTGAAGAATTATTAAGAGTATAAATAATATATAGAAGTATATCAAAATGCTTTGTAAATTGAAAGTCTCTACAGGAAGATTTGTTACTATTATTGGTATAAAGCCAATTCATACACCCTTCCCAATGCAGACCAAGTATTTTCTAATACATGCTTAAGGAGGCATGTACTTTTCTTTTTTGATGTTTAGTTGTCCTTATTTTAAAGTGAAACAAATTAGTTATAAAATCCTTTGCTCCAAGTAGAAACTATGTATATTACAAATGTTTTTTGCTTGGTTTTGAGTTTTAAAGATTACTGTAGTAGTTATTTCTAATATCATAAATAATTATTTCTCAGAAAGTTGAATTTGTAATGCAATATTTACACAAATTGAATAAGTGAAAAATGATAGTTTATTAATTATACCAGTATTGTTAAAATTTATTTTTAAAATAAGGCAATCAGTCTTTTCTGATTTTAAGGAACATTTTGAAACATTTCTAGCCTAATTAGTCTTTTTCTGTTTAAGCAGGTTGATTTCATTTAGAATAGTCTTTTCTATTCTTGATTATCATGAAAATATTGCTAATTCCTAATTACATATAACACTGTGTGGATGATAGCAACTCAGAATTTCTTTATAGCATTATCCTGCCCATTCTGACATTGTCCTTATAATTAAGAGTTGGCTTGTGAATATATAATATTCATAGTAAATCTGTTTTTACAGCAATTAAAGATCATTCTAAAGATGAACCCCAACTTGCAACAAAAAATATCATTTGTGATCCCTCAGAGACCAGCTCCACAACAAATCGCAGCAGTGTTACATTAAGCTTATCAACATTACCATCTGATTCTTATTACAGCCAAAGTATAGAAGCAGCTGATGACTGGTTTTCTGATGATTCTCTAGTGAAAAGGAACTCTCCAATGCCTTCTCTCGGGGAACCTCTAATGGAAAAAGTATTTTCATACCTGTCAACCATTTCATTAGAAGAGGGTACTGAAAGTGTACTGAATGACACTTTATGACCATCAAAAAGATGACTACATTAAGGGAAAATGTTCATGAAGAAACACAGAGGTTGAAATATAAAACCTTCAACATAATACTGAATGACTTTTTTCTTTTGAAACCTTGTATACAATCAGCTTCTGAGTCTCTTAACATGTCCATGCTAATATTGCTTTTTTTGTTCTTTACCATAGAGCGGCTCTACTTCCCTTGCTGGTTCTTATTTCTAGAAACAAAATTAGGAAGAACTAGAGTGATGTCATGAACATTAAGCTTAACTTATTGTATCTCATCCAAAGACATATTAAATAAAATGAGTGTATGTCAACAAACGGGAGAAAAACATTTAAAAATCTTCAGCACAAAAATAATACATATATTTTCTTTGAGACTGAGTCTCGCTCTATTGCCCAGGCTAGAGTGCAGTGGTGTGATCTCAGTTCACTGCAACCTTCACCTCCAGGGTTCAAGCGATTCTTCTGCTTCAGCCTCCTGAGTAGCTGGGATTACAGGCGCCTACCACCATGCCAGCTAATTTTTGTATTTTTAGTAGAGATGAGGTTTCACCATGTTGGCCAGGCTAGTCTCGAACTCCTGACCTCAAGTGATTCACCCGCCTTGGCCTCCCAAAGTGCTGGGATTACAGGCATGAGCCACTGCGCCTGGCCAGAAAAAAATATATATTTTTGAATAAAATATCCACAGCATTTCCTTATACTTTTGATGTTTTCAATTTTATTTCAGTGTGGGTAGGGCTGGGAGGAATATCAGTTTTTCTGAATTTAAAACACATAAATTACTTACAATTCAAATATTACCATGTTATGCTTTTAGTAAGCAGTATAATTTTGCTCCTGCAAGATAGCTTGAAATGCTGAATCCAGAAAAGAGGCCAGGCACAGTGGCTCATGCCTGTAGTCCCAGCAGTTTAGGAGGCTGAGGTGGGCAGATTGCTTGAGCCCAGGAGTTTGAGACCAGACTGGACAACATAGTGAGACCCAGTCTCTACAGAAAATGCAAAAATTAGCCTGGTGTGGTGGCACATGCCTGTAGTCCCAGCTACTTGGGAGGCTGAGGTGGGAGGATCATTTGAGCCCTGAAGGTTGAGGCTGCAATGAGTTGAGAATATGCCACTGCGCTCCAGCAGCCTGGGCAACAAAGTGAGACCCTGTCTCAAAAAAAAGAATTTAGAAAATAATTTTCATTTTCCTTTCCTATCTCTATTTCTCAGAATGTTCCTCACCCTCACTCTACTGTGATAAAAATGCTTGCAGGCACCTGACTCACACTGGATGATTTAGAGTTTCTCTCCAGTCTATGAGACCCTTGGTCAAATTTCTATTTACAGTTCTGAGGGATGTCTGACACTCGCTATGTAATCTTTTCTTTTTTCTTTTTTTTCCTAAACATTCTCCATGAAATTAATCCCCTTGGGAAAAAACGACTCATTAACAAGTATATTAGCTTTTGTGCTTAAATTACCCATACTAAGACCTATTCATACCTTCCTGAGAGATAAATCATACCTCCTACAATAAATGCAATGAACTTTCCCTCAAATAACATAATAGCATTACCCAGGCCTATCATTCCTATCCCAAGAGCAAATGTAAAAGGAGTTAGAACCACTCTCTCTTTTGAAGCACCTGGTCATTTTTACACAGCGTGCTATGGGTTCTAGCACATCTATTGCTATCCTCACCTAAATCTAAGTAAGCTCAAGCTCTTTAAGGAGCAGTAAAAACAAAAATTTTAATTGGCCTCTGTCTCTTGGCACCCTGAAACCTGTTTTACTCTCGATCCCAGAGAAGGAAATTATTTCTAATTTTGGTGATGTCCTAAAACTTCCCTAGGAATTTGGGATTGGAGATAAGAGATTCTGGCTTTCATCTGACTCTTCTCTGGAATAGAGGAAATACAAACTGGGGAACTATGGGTTGCCATTCCTACCATGTGGCTTAGGAAGGAAAAAAAAACCAAAAACACCAAATCTGCAGTGAGGGAGCAATGAAACATTTGCAAAATGAAAACTGGAGATGAGAGATTAGAAGAATGTGATTTCTGGCTTTCTAACAATGCTCTCTTCCCTTGTCCCAGCCTTCATGAAGTATGGCTATAAAGCCTACTCTTGGCTTGGTAAGGTATTCTTGTATCCTAATTATAAAATCCCCTTTTTGCTTAAACTAGCAAGATTTGATTTGTATTAATGGCCACAGTCCCGAAGGCCTAGCTTCAACTGTTGTTCTTGGCTTTGTTAAGGAACCCTTGTAATTTTATAAGAAATCCCCCTTTTGGTATAAACTAGAAAGACCTTTGTTTCTATTCCTACAATCAAAGCATCATGCCTGACCAAATTCTTGTTTATATTACAAATTATAAATAGATTTATGCATATAAAGTAATTGTTATCCCATAATAATATAATAAATTGAATGTCTTTCTTTTTTTTTTTTTTGAGACAGAGTCTCACTCTGTCACCCGGGCTAGAGTGCAATGGTGTGATCTCAGCTCATTGCAACCTCCGCTTCCCAGGTTCAAGCGATATCTCCTGCCTCCGCCTCCTGAGTAGCTGGGACTACAGACATGTGCCAACACGTCCAGCTAATTTTTGTATTTTTAGTAGAGACGGGGTTTCACCATGTTGGCCAGGCTGGTCTTGAACTCCTGACCTCAAGTGATCCACCCACCTAGGCCTCCCAAAGTGCTGGGATTACAGGCGTGAGCCACCACGCCTGGCCATAAATGGAATGTATTTCCTAAAAACTTAACACATTTACTTGTTTATTAAAATCTTACTCCATATCATAGGTATATACACTGTTCTATTTGAAAAGTCCTGTGAACAATACTTACGAAATTATGCCAGTCTAGAGTAATCTCATTTTCAAGAACTATAAAGGATCTGAGATTTCACTCTTTATGCAAGCTGACAAGGTATCCTGCAATAGTTTCATGTCTTTTGCGTTAGAAACAAGAGGCAGTTTATTGTTCATAGCAATAACAGTAGTCAGAGTTATCATCATTTTTGACATCCTTTTGCATTATTTCCTGGGCCTGCTGTTCCTGCAGGCTGATGTGAAAGAGGGTCAAGATAATGCCTGCACCAAGAGTGGGTTGCATTACAGGAAGGAGTTTAGGGAACCAAATATTTTCAAATGGACGGTAATGCATACCTGCCCTTTGTACCAGAGGGAGCCACTGTCTCTGTCTTCCAGGGTTGTTCACTATATGAACATCCTTGAAAAGATAGTTTGGAACATAGGCAATCTGTTTCTGCTCACAGACATGCAGAAATGTAAGAGACCCACAGTTGACATTGACATAGGGTATTAATTACAGATCTTTTGATTACATATACCTGAAAAGCAACTCAAGTTAGCTTGAGGAGAAAAATTTTGTTTCTTAAACAGAATCCAAATAATGTTTGAACAACTAAATGTAGGAAGTACAAGGTTGTAACCTGGTCTCAGGAACAGGTGTAACAGGTTCAAATTCCATCAGGACTTTCCCTATTTCTACCAGTCAAGGTTCAGTGAGGGAAGAACTACTTTTCGGATTGGGGTAAGAGATTTATTATTGGAATTATTATATCTTACGCAATTGTAAGAGGAACAAAGGAAGTGAAGTTTAAGGAGAGAAATTGGAGAATCAGAGAAGGAGTCACCAGCAAGATAATCTGAAACTCTGAACAAGAGATCTTTTGAAAAAAAAGTAAATAAATAAGAATAAAAAGTAAAACTTTTTTTTAAAGTGAATAACTAGAGAAACCAGTGTCCAACTGCCACAGTAAGACTGTAGAGGGAAGGCTTGTGGGAATGTTTACTGGAAGCTGTGCCTCAGCAGCGACTGCCTTTGGGTGTACAACCTAGTTCCGTGATTCCTAGCCTGGAAATATGGGATAACATTTAAAAATTTATTTTATTTTTATTTATTTATTTTATTTTTATTTTTTGAGACAGAGTCTTGCTCTGTCACCCAGGCTGGAGTGCAGTGGCAATGGTCTTGGCTCACTGCAACCTCCGCCACCTGGGTTCAAGCAATTCTCTGCCTCAGCCTTCCACATAGCTGGGATTACAGGCGCCCACCACCACACCTGGATAATTTTTTTGTATTTTTAGTAGAGACGGGGTTTCACCATCTTGGCCAGGCTGGTTTCAAACTCCTGACCTCATGATCCAAACACCTCAGCCTCCCAAAGTGCTAGGATTACAGGTGTGAGCCACCGTGCTCAGCCTATTTTATTTTTATTTTATTTTATTGAGACAGTCTCACTATTCTGCTCAGGTTACAACTGAACTGGGTCAAGCAATCTGCCTCAGCCTCCCAAGTAGCTGGGACTACAGGAGCACGTCACTGCACCCAGCTCGCAACTGCCTTTGACACTGTGCTGCCAAGCATCTTGTAGCAGACCCAGGGCCATTGTTTGCCAACAGGATCAGCAGTTGGAAGAACTGGACACTGAAAAGAACTGGACATAGGGCGGAGGAGTAAGGACAAACCAGAATCCACTGGCCTCTCTATAGTCTGTTTCCACATGTACGCAGATTACCTTCACAGAATAATGGCCTCTGCTTAGATTCTGCTTTCCAAATATTGCACAAATGCCTCTTTAGGCCAGCTTTAGCCAAGAACTATACATAGAAAAAGATTCTGAGAAACATAATTCCAGCTTAACTAAGTTAATACAGTACAAACCACAGTCTACCCATTATCAATTTAGCATTCGTTTACACTTTTTTTTTTTTTTTTTGAAACAGAGTCTCACTCTCTTCCCCAGGCTAGAGTGCAGTGGCACGATCTCGGCTCACTGCAACCTCCACCTCCCAGGTTCAAGTGTGTCTCCTGCCTTAGACTCCCAAGTAGCTGGGGTTACAAGCACAGGCCACCACGCCCAGCTAATTTTTATAGTTTTAGTAGAGATAGGGTTTCACTATGTTGGCCAGGCTGGTCTTGAACTCTTGACTTCAGGTGATCCACTGGCCTTGGCCTCCCAAATTGCTGGGATTACAAATGTAAGCTATTGTACCCAGCCTTATTTACACTTTAACCATACTTGAAACCTCCAAATAAAAACAATAGCAGAGTGATGTTGACAAGACATCCCTCTACAGCAATAGTAATTTAACAGGCATCCACAGACAAAAGTTCCTTTGTTAAGCTTTGGGATCCAGGTAGGAGTTTGTGAAAACCTGGTGCAGCCCAAGACCAAAGAGGGCCTTTTCTTTTTTTTCTTTGAGACAGGGTCTCACCCTGCCACCCAGGCTGGAGTGCAGTGACATGATCACAGCTCACTGTAGCCTTAAACTCCTGGGTTCAAGCAATCCTCCCATCTCAGCCTCTTAAGTAGCTAGGCCTACAGGTGTGTTCCACCATGCCCAGCTAATTTTTTTTATTTTTTTCTAGAGACAGGGTCTTCCTATGTTTCCAGGCTGGTCTTGAATTCCTGGGCTCGAGCAAGCCTCCCAAAGTGCTGAGATTACAGGTATGAGCCACTGCACCTGGCCTAAAGAGGGCCTTTTGAGAGGGCAGAACTGCCCTTGCTGGCCCATCTGCAAATGACCCATTTTCCCTATTGACTCAGCTCTGAGTCCTGTTTGGCCCTAGTCCTGCTACTAGAACCATTAGCCCAGGGACCTGTGAGGAGTCACACCCATTTATGCTTCAAGGTGACAGACCTGCTGACCTCAGTCCCCACAGTGTACTCAGAAATGGCTCTGAAACTTGACTGCAGCCCCTCTCAGCAGTGGTCAGAAATCAGAAGTCCTGCTGGTGGCATAGGGTCCCAGAAGGAGACATACCCACCTAAGTCCCCAGGGCCATTTTGCCAACCTTAGTTCCACAGCAGACTCTGAAATAGTTGTGACACTTGGCTCCAGCGCCTCCCAATAATGGTCAGAGATTAGTACTGCTTATGACACAGGCACCCAGAGAGAGATGTGCCTGTCTGAGTCTGTGGAAAAGGCTTGCTGACCTCTGTCTGGCTGTGGACACTGAAATAACCCTGTGACTTCATTGTGTTCTCTCTCAGCCATGGACCAGGATAGTACTGCCTGCCAAGAGACCCAGTAAGTGACCCAATAGGAAGCGTCCCAGGACACAGAGGAAGCCATACATGGCTGCATACCTAGTATCAGGCCCACTGTCTGCAGACCTTCAAGTGGATCTTCATCCAAGCACCAGCCCTGGAACAAGGTCCTAGAAACATTCTAATCTCCTTAGGGACCAGAAAGGATCCATACCCACTAGAGCTCCTGGTAACAGGCCTGCCATCTGCAGACCCCACTGCAGACACGGAAGCAACCATGTGACCCAGCTCCAACCATGGTCCCAGAGGCAATCTTATTAACTTGAGAGCCTAATAGAAGTTCTTAACCTACTGATAGCAATCTATAAAGACTAGAAGTGGTGCTTGTGCCTTCAAATGCAGACACGAAAGCCAATCTACATGGATAATGAAGAATCAGGCACACATCCTACCACCAAAGGAAACTAATAAAGCTCCAGCAACTGAATCTAAATAAATGAAGATCTACAAATTGCCTGAAAGAGAATTGAAAATAATTATCTTAAGTAAGCATAATGAGATGCAAGAAAATACAGATATACAACTAAATAAAATTAGGAAAACACTGCATGAACAAAATGAGACTTTAATAAAGAAATAGTAACCACGAAAAAGGAACCTAACAGAAATCCAGAAGCTGAAGGATACAGTCAAGAAAAGTGTAATAGAGAGCTTCAACAGCAGACTCAATCATGCAGAATAAGCAATTAGAAAACTCAAAGACAGGTCATTCAATATTAACCAATTAGAGGAACAACAACAACAAAAGGAATGAAGAAAGCATAGGGAACCTAGGGGACGCCCTCAAGTGTATGAATGCACAAATTATGAGAATCCAAGGAGAAAGAGCCCTGTCTGAAACTCCCCAAGTCTTGGGAAGGAGATGAACATCTAGATTCATGAAGCTCAAGGAATCCCAAGAAAGATAAACCCAAAGAAGAATACGCTGAGGAATAGTACAGTCAAATTGTCAAAAATTACAGAGAATTTTGAAACTAGAGAAAGAAAATAAACTTATACAAGGTAAACTCCATAAGGCTAACAGACTTCTCAACATAGACTTGCAAGCCAGGAGGGAGTGGATTGATACATTCAAGGTGTTGAAAGAAACAACTTTCAGCCATGAATACTATAACCAGCAAAGCTATCCTTCAGAAATAAAGGAAAGATAAAACTTTCCTAGACAAACAAAAGCTGAGGGAATTTATCACCACTAGACCAGCCTTTGAAGAATTGCTAAATGGAGTTCTTTGGGTTAAAATAAAGGATGCTTATTAACAAAATGAAAATATATGGGCCGGGCACTCATGCCTGTAATCCCAGCACTTTGGGAGGCCAAGGTGGGTGGATCACCTGAGGTCAGGAGTACGAGACCAGTCTGGACAACATGGTGAAACCCCACCTGTACTAAAAATACAAAAATTAGCTGGGCTTGGTGGTGCATGCCTATAATCCCAGCTACTTGGGAGTCTGGGGCAGGAAAATCGTTTGAACCTGGGAGGCGGAGGTTGCAGTGAGCCAAGATCATACCACTGCATTCCAGCCTGGGTGAGTGACAGAGTCAAATTCCATCTAAAAAAAAAGAAAAGAAAACATATGAAAGAAAAAAACTCAATAATAAATATATAGCCAAGTTCAGAATACTCTAATACTATAACAGTGGTATGCAAATCATTTTTATCTATACTATAAAAGTTAAAAGACAAAAGTATTAAAATAACTATAGCTAAAATAATTTTTACCAAAAACGCAATTTTAAAAGATGTAGTCTGGGTATGGTGGCTCACATCTGTAATCCTAGCACTTTTGGAGGCCAAGGTAGGAGGATCACTTGAGGCCAGGATTTGAGACTAGCCTGGGCAACATAATGAGACCCTATCTCTACAAAAATTTTTTTGAAACAACAAAACAAAACAAAAAAAGATGTAAATTGTGACATTGTTCTGCAGTGGGCAGGCATATGCAGACCTACCCCCAAATTCCAAAGAAGCTGAAAGGCTGAAGAAAGAGACTGGCATATCCAGTTTCTCAGAAAGAAACATTTAATAGAGTCTTACAAGCAGAAGCCATGTCCCAGCAGCCACAAGATGAGATGGTGGATCTCCACACCATTACTCTCCAGACCCAAGGCTTATATACCACAGGGAGGAATGTGTAGGACAATTGAAGTCAACCCCTCAGGGAAAGGCAAAAATGTTATGTGAATATGTATAAGGGCAAAATTTATGATCACGGTTGTTTTGACTTAAGGCCGGGATTGACAGTAGTTAAGGTAGAGGTCTTAGAGGCTTTCTCTGATTAACAAGGGTTAATCAGAAGTCAGCATGGCAGATTAGTATGCAAGATGGAGTTGCTCCACAGATATCAGAAACAAAATTTGAGGGGAAGGAGTAAAAGTGTACAGTTTTTAAGATGTGATAAAAGTTGAGTTGTTTTTTGCTCAAAATAACTTGTTTTAACTATAAGATGTATGTAAGCCTCACAGTACCCACAAAGAAAACACCTATACAAATACACAAAAGATGAAGAGAAAGGAATCAAAGCATACGATTATTGAAAATCATCAACTGACAAAGGAAAACAGCAAAAGAAAAAGAAGAGAGCAAAAGATCAATGAAGTAATCATAAACACCAGGCTCGGTGGCTCACAAATGTAATCCCAGCACTTTGGGAGGTAAAGGTGGGTGGATTGCTTGAGCTCAGGAGTTTGAGACCAGCCTGGGCAACATGGCAAACCTTATCTCTACAAAATATTTAAAAATTAGCCAGGCATGGTGGCACACACCTGTAGTCCCAGATACTTGGGGGCTGAGGCAGGAGGATCACTTGAGCCCAGGAGGTCAAGGCTTCAGTGAGCCAAGGTCATGCCACCCTTCTCCAGCCTGGGCAACAGAGCAAGACCCTGTCTCAAAAAAGAAAAAAAAAGAAAACCAAAGTAACCAGAAAACAACTAATAAAATAGCAGTAGCAGGTCCTTATCTATGAATAATTACCTTGAATGTAAATGGATTAAATTCTATGGAGTGGCTGAATCAATTTAAAAGGAACACAAGATTCAACTATATGCTACATACAAGAGAATCACTTTGGCTTTAAGGACACAGTGAAAGTGAAGAGATGGAAAGTGAAAGTGAAGAGATGGAAAAAAATTTTCTATGAAAATGGAAACTAAAGAGAACGGGTAGCTATACTAAAATCTGACAAAATAGACTTTAAGTCAAAAAAACTGTAAAAAGAGACAAAGAAAGATATTATATAATGATTAAAAGAGGTCAATTCAGTGAGAGAATATAACAATTATAAGTATCTATGCACCCAATAGTGGAGCACCCAAGTATATAAAGCAAACATTAATAGAATTAAAGGAAGACATAGACTTCAGTACAGTAATAGTAGGTGACTTTAGTACCCCACTCTCAGTAGTGAACAGACCATCCAGACAGAAAATCAACAAACTTAAACTATACACTAGACCAAATAGACCTAACTGACAGTTACAGACCATTTCACCCAACTGCTGCAAAATACACATTCTTTTCATCAGCACATGGAACATTTTCCAGAAAGATCACTTGTTTGGCCACAAAACAAGTCTTAACATCTTTTTTCTTTTTTTTAGTCTTTTTATTATTGTCTTTTTTTTTTTTTTTTTTAATCGAAGATCCCTTACTGGCCCTGCTTCCATGAGTAGCAATGATCAGGGGAAAAGGGAGAGGAAACAGCTGGCACAGGGAGGGATCATCTCCACAGCATTCCATTTATGCATAGAACTAAACAGACAATCGCAGAGTCACTATTGCGGTTAGAAGTTGGCAGCATGGGAAGGGGGAGGAACAGGTGGGGAGTAGGGGTGTTGTTAAAAAAAAATACAGGCCACTCCACAACTGGAGTTCCTGGGGGGAATTTGGTCTGCCTCAACCAAAGAGGAATCAGAAGATCAAAAGCAGTTTGGGAAGGCCAGAACCGTCAGGGATGGAGGGAGGAGGAAAATCCAAGGGGTGCGGGTTCTGTTTGGCAACTGGGGTGAAGGGATTGCCCTCCCTCTGCTGGGATCCCCCCAGCCCCTCTGGTCTGGCAGGAAGGGGGCAGCCTGCAACCCCCGAGGGCAGGTGTGGGGCTTCCAGATGCTCCAGGCAGTGGGCCAGAAGGGGCTCACAAAGGCTTGCCCTCCAGGGAGATGATGGCACTGCCCCCCAGCATCTCTGCCAGGGTGCAGTGGTCCTTGACATCCTCGTAGCAGTTTGCTTGTAATGCATGCTTGATCCCTGTCAGCTTCTTCTTGATGGCGTCCTTGGAGCTGGCATAGATTATTTTGCTCTAAAGGGGTGCAGACTCAGGGGCCCAGAAGATAAACACCAGGTCCTCCTCCTTGCTCTCCTTGGTCTCGTAGGTTGTGTCATAGAGGGTGTAGCGGTAGTCCTTATATGGCAGCATCTTGACAAAGGTGGCATAGAGGTTGTTGACAGTCTGGCCCACATCGCCCACCAGGATCTCCTTGCCCTCCTCCAGGATAATGTTCTTCTTGTCCTCACTCAGGCAGAAGAACACCACCTTCTTGCACTTCTTCACCTCCTCTGGCATTGAAGACTTATGCATCTTCATGTCCTTGAACACCTTGATGACACCATCAGAGACGGCCACCCCTGAGGCCATGTTTCCGGAAGTGAAAAGAAGAAGGCATGGAGAGCCTCAGAAGACACCGCTGCTAGGACCCACCTGAACCAAGTCTTAACATCTTTAAGAAGATTTGAATCAAATCAAGTATATTTTGTGGACAAAATGGCATGAAACTAGAAATCAACAAACAGGAGTAAATTTGGAAAATTCACAACTGTGTAAATTAAACAATGTGCTCCTGAACAACCAATGCATCAAAGAAGAAATCAAAATGGAAATACAAACATATCTTGAAATGAGCTAAATAGAAACAAAATATCCCCAAAATTGTGGGATTCAACAAAAGCAGTTCTAAGAGGGAAGATTATAGCAATAAACACGTACATTAAAATGGAAGAAAGATCTCAAATAAATAAGCTAATGTTATACCTCAAGGAACTAGAAAAAGGAGAACAAGCTAAGCCCAAAGTTAGTAGAAGAAATGAAATAAAGATCAGAGAAGAAATAAATCGATACTAGAAAAACAATAGAAAAGATGAACAAAACTAAAACTTAGAATTTTTGTATTATATTTATTAATACACAATTATTATACGTATTTGGGATATTTTAGTATTTCGATACATGTATACAATGTGTAATGATCAAATTAACATTATTGAGACATCCCTCACCTCAAACATTTATCTTTTCTTTGTGCTGGGAACATTATACTTCTTAGCTATTTTGAAATACATAATACATTGTTGTTAACTATAGTCACCCTACTCTACTAGCAAACATTTTAACTTATGGCTTCTATCTAACTGTATGTTAGTAGCCATTAACCAACTTCTCTTCACCCACCTCTCCACCATTCCTTTCCCAGCCTCTGGTAACCACCCTTCCACTCTCTACCTCCGTTAGATCCACTTTTTAAGCTCTCACGAATGAGTGAGAACATAAAATGTCTCTCTGTGCCTGGCTTATTTCACTTAACATAATGATTTCTAGTTCCATCCATGTTGCTGCAATGACAGGATTTTATTTTTTTGTGGCTGAATAGTATTCCATTGTGTATATATACCACATTTTCTTATTTATTCATCCTTTGATGGACACCTAGGTTGATTCCATCTCTTGGCTATTGTGAATAGTGCTAGTGCTGCAATAAACACAGGAGTGCAGGTAGTCTTCAGTATACAGATTTCCCATCTTTTGGATCTATCCCTAGCAGTGGAATTGCTGGATCATATGGCAGTTCTGTCTTTAAGTTTTGGAGGAACCACCATGCTGTTTTTCACAGTGGTTGTACTACTTTACATTCCTACTACAGTCTACAATAGTTCTCCTTTCTCTGCATTTTCACCAGCATGTGTTATTTTTTGTCCTTTTTATAATAGCCATTTTAACTATGGTGAGATAATATCTCATTGTGGTTGTGATTAGCATTTTCCTGATGATAAGTAATACTGAGTATTTTTAAATATACCTGTTGGCCATTTGTATGTTTTGAGAAATGTCTATTCAGGTCTTTAGCTCATTTTTTAATCATTTTTTTCTTTTACTCTTGAGTTGTTTGAGTTTCTTACATATTCTGGTTATTAATCCCTTGTTGGATTGATAGCTTACAAATATTTTTTCCCATTTTGTAGGTTGTCTCTTCACTTTATTGATTGTTTCATTAACTGCAACAGAAGCTTTTTGGCTTGATGCAATCCCATTTGCCTATTTGTGCTTTTGTTGCCTGTGCTTTTGAGGTCTTACCCAAAAAAAATCTTCGCTTAGACCAATGTCCTAGAGTGTTTCTCCAATGTTTTTGTCTATTAGTTTCATAGTTTTAGATCTTACATTTAAGCCTTTAATCCAAGAGTCCCCAACCCCCAGGCCATGGACCAGTACTGGTCAACGCAATCTCTATCAAAATCTCAATATCACTTTTCACAAAAATAGAAAAAAAAACATAAAGTTAATATGGAATCACAAAAGCCCCCTAATAACCAAGGCAATCTTTTTTCTTTTCTTTTTTTTTCTTTTTGAAACAGGTTCTCGCTCTGTCACCCAGGCTGGAGTGCAGTGGCACAATCCCGGCACACTGCAACCTTCACCTCCCTGGCTCAAATGACCCTCCTGCCTCCAATCTACAGAGAAGCTGGGACCACAGGCATGTACCAGCAGACTGGCTAATTTTTGTATTTTTAGTAGAGGTGGGGTTTCTCCATGTTACCCAGGCTGGTCTCAAACTCCTGAACCCAAGTGATCCACCCACCTTGGCCTCCCAAAGTGCTGGGATTACAGGTGTGTACCACTGCGCCTGGCCAGTCAAGGCAATCTTTAGCAAAATGCACAAAGCTGGATGCATTACCTTACGTTACCTCAAAATCTACCATAAAACTATAGTAATCAAAAAAATATGGTACTGGCGTAAAAACAGACACATAAACAAATGGAACAGAAAAGGTGCTCAACGTCACTAATCATCAAGGAAATGCAAATTAAAACAACAATGAAATGAAATATCATCGTTTGCTTGTTAGGAAGACTTTTATCAAAAAGAGAAAAAGTAAGTGTCTGCTGAGGTACAGAGAAAAGGGAACCCTTGTATGCTGTTAGTGGGAATGCAGATTGGTGCAGCCAGTGTGAAAAACAGTATGGAGATTCCTTTAAAAACTGAAAATAGAACTATTATATGATCCAGCAATGCCTCTTCTGGATATATACCCAAAGGAAATGAAATAACCCCTGGTAAAGATATCTACACCCCCATGTTCATTACAAACATTATTTATGATAACCATCATATGGAAACAACCAAAGTGCCCATTGACAAATGAAAGAGTAAAAAAATGAAACTGGACATATTACAACTGCTACCACAGAAATGCAAAAGATCATTCAAGGCTACTATGAACACCTTTATGTACACAAACTAGAAAATCTAGAGAAGACGGATGCATTCCTTGAAACATACAACCCTCCCAGATTAAATGAGGAAGAAGTAGAAACCCTGAACAGACCAATAACAAGCAGCAAGATTGAATCAGTAGTTTTTTTAAAATATTGCTGGCCAGCCACGGTGCCTCATGCCTGTAATCCCAGCACTTTGGGAGGCCGAGGCAGGCGGATCACAAGGTCAGGAGTTCGAGATCAGCCCAGCCAACATAGTGAAACCCTGTCTCTACTAAAAATACAAAAAAAAATAAGCCAGGCATAGTGGCGGATGCCTGTAATCCCAGCTACTTGGGAGGCTGAGGCAGGAGAATCGCTTGAACCCAGGAGGCAGAGGTTGCAGTGAGCTGACATCACGCCACTGCACTCCAGCCCAGGTGACAGTGTGAGACTCTGTCTCAAAAAAAAAAAAAATTGCCAACAACAACAAAAAATGATCACGACCAAATGGATTCACAGCTGAATTCTATCAGACATTCAAAGAAGAATTGATACCAGTCCTACAGAAACTATTCGAAAAGATAAAAAGGAAATCCTCCCTAAATCATCCTATGAAGCCAGTATCACCCTAATACCAAAACCAGGAAAGGACATAACAAAATAAGAAAACTACAGACCAATATCACTGATGAACATAGATGCAGAAAATCATCAACAAAATACTAGGTAACAGAATCCAACAGCATATCAAAAAGATAATACTTCATGATCAAGTAGGGTTTACACCAGTGATGCAGGGGTGGTTCACTATATGCAAATCAATAAATGTGATATATCACATAAACATAATTAAAAACAAAAATCATATGATCATCTCAATAGATGCAGAAAAAACATTTGATAAAATCCAACATCCTTTTATGATTAAAAACCCTCAAAAAATTGGCATAGGGCCGGGCGCAGTGCCTCACGCCTGTAATCCCAGCACTTTGGGAGGCTGAGGCAGGCAGATCACGAGGTCAAGAGATCGAGACCATCCTGGCCAACATGGTGAAACCCCCATCTCTACTAAAAATACAAAAAATTAGCTGGGCGTGGTGGTGTGTGCCTATAGTCCCAGCCACTCAGGAGGCTGTGGCAGGAGGATTACTTGAACCCGGGAGGCAGAGGCTGCAGTGAGCTGAGATCACGCCACTGCACTCCAGCCTGGTGACAGAGTGAGACTCTGTCAAAAAAAAAAAAATTGGCATAGAAGGGACATACCTCAAAGTAATAAAAGCCATCTATGACAAACCCACAGTCAACATCATACTGAATGGGGAAAAGTTAAAAGTATTCCCCTGAGAACTGGAACACAACAAGGATGCCCACTTTCACCGCTTCTATTCTGGATAGGAAGTCCTAGCCAGAGCAATCAGACAACAGAAAGAAATAAAGGGCATCCAAATTGGAAAAGAGGAAGTCAAACTGTCGCTATCTGCCAATGATATGATTGTATACCTAGATAACCCGGGCCGGGCACAGTGGCTCATGCCTGTAATCCCAGCACTTTAGGAGGCTGAGGCAGGTGGATCACCTGAGGTCAGGAGGTCGAGACCAGCCTGGCCTACATGGTGAAACCCCATCTCTACTAAAAGTACAAAAAATTAGCCAGGCGTTGTGGCATGTACCTGTAGTCCCAGCTACTTGGGAGACTGAGGCAGGGGGATAGCTTGAACCTGGGAGGCAGAGGTTGCAGTGAGCCAAGATCATTCCAGCCTGGGCAACAGAGTAAGACTCCATCTCCAAAAACAAAAACAAAAACAAACAAAACAAAACAAAACCAACCCTGAAGACTCATCCAAAAAGCTCCTAGACCCGAGAAATGAAGTCAGTAAAGTCTCAGGATACAAAATCAACATACAAGCCAGGTGCAGTGACTCATGCCTGTAATCCCAGCACTTTGGGAGGCCGAGGCAGGCGGGTCACTTGCAGTCAGGAGTTTGAGACCAGCGGGCCAACATGGTAAAACCCCATCTCTACTAAAAATACAACAAAAGCAGCCAGATGTGGTGGCAGACACTTGTAATCCCAGCTACTTGGGAGACTGAGGCAAGAGAATTACTTGAACCCAGGAGGCAGAGGTTGCAGTGAGCAACAGGGTGAGACCCTGTCTCAAAAAAAAAAAAAATCAATGTACACAAATCAGTAACACTGCTATACACAAACAGTAACCAAGCTGAGAATCAAATCAAGAACTCAATCCCTTTTAAAACAGCTGCAAAAAAAATTAAAATACTTAGGAATATACTTAACCAAGGAGGTTAAAGATCTCTACAAAGAAAACTACAAAACACTGCTGAAAGAAATCACAGATGACACAAACAAATGGAAACACATCCCATGCTCATGGATGGATAGAATCAATATCGTGAAAATGACCACATGGCCCAAAGCAGTCTACAGATTCAATGCAATTTCCATCAGAATACCATCATCATTCTTCACAGAACTAGAAAAAACAACCCTAAAATTCATATGGAACCAGGCTGGGCACAGCGGCTCATGCCTGTAATCCTAGCACTTTGTGAAGCTAAGGTGGGCAGATCTCTTGAGGTCAGGAGTTTTGAGACCAGCCTGTCCAACATGGTGAAATCCTGTCTCTACTAAAAATACAAAAATTAGCCAGGTGTGGTGGTGTGAGCCTGTAGTCCCAACTACTTGGGAGGATCAGGTGGGAGAGTCGCTTGAATCCAGGAAGCAGAGGTTGCAGTGAGCCAAGATTGAGACACAAGACAGGTGACAGAGCAGGACTCTGTCTCAAAAAAAAAAAAAAAAGAAAAGAAAAAAGAAAGAAAAAAATTCACTTGGAAACAAAAAAAAAGCCCACATAGCCAAAGCAAATCTAAGCAAATAGAACAAATCTGGAAGCATTCATTACGTTACCCAGCTTCAAATTATACTACAAGGCTATAGTTACCAAAACAGCATGGTACTGGTATAAAAATAGGCATGTAGACCAGGGAACAGAACTGAGAACCCAGAAATAAAGCCAAATATGTACAGCTAACTTATCTTTGACAAAGCATACAAAAACATAAAGTGGGGAAAGGACACCCTATTCAATAAATGGTGCTGGGAATACTGGCAAGCCACATGTAGAAGAATGAAACTGAATACATAAGTATATAATATATATATTATATAGGATTATTATGCATATTATATACAGGAATATTATTCAGCTTTAAAAAAGAAGGAGATCCTACCATTTACCACAACATGGATGGATTTGGAGGACATTATGCCAAGTGAAATAAGGCAGTTACAGAAAGGAAAATACTACATGATCTCACTTATATATGGAATATTAAACAAACAAATACATACGAATAAAGAGTAGAATGGTGCTTACCAGTGGCAGGGGTGGGTCATGGGAAGATGTATATCAAATGGTACAAAATTGCAGTTATGTGTGATGAATAAGTCTCAGATCTAATGTACAACATGAGGACTATAGTTAATAATATTGTATACTGATAATTTGCCAAAAGAGTAGGTTTTAAGTACTCTTACCATAACAAGAAAAAAAAGGGAGAAAAGGTAAATGTATGAGATAATGGGTATATTAATTTGCTTGACTGTGGTAATCCCTTCACTATGTATATGTAGATCAAGATAAGTACAGCAAAACATCATGTTATACATTCTAAATATATACAATAAAAAATAGCAAAATCATGCTTTAATCAGACATGATACAGTACCTTTTTTTTTTGAGTGGGGGTCTCACTCTGTCACCCAGGCTGGAGTGCAGGGCACGATCTCAGCTCACTGCAACCTCCTACCCCCAGGTTCAAGAAATTCTCCTGCCTCAGCCTCCTGAGTAGCTGGGATTACAGGCATGCACCACTATGCCTGGCTAATTTTTGTATTTTTAGTAGAGATGAGGTTTCACCACATTGGCCAGACTGGTCTCAAACTCCTGACCTCAGGTGATCTGCCCACCTTGGCCTCCCAAAGTACTGGAATTACAGGTGTGAGCCACCATGCCTGGCCTCAGAACCTCTTTTATAACAACAAAAAAGTATCAACTCTCTTGCTAAAAGAGGCTACAAAGTCCCCTTATCTGTCTTTGGGTGACATTTGTTTCTCATCTAGTGAGTCACAGATCTCTATTTGCATTCTGTTAACCTAAGTAATGAGATGCTTAGTTAACCACTATTAACAGATGTTAGATAGTAAGGAAATGACATAGGAGAAGAAAAGAAAAAGAATTGGTTAAAATATATACAAATACACTTCAAAGTAAGACTGAAATAGCTATAATTGCTACCATCATTATTTCTGTAACTGATCACATAGCTGAGACAGAAAGCAAAATATTCACTACTGGATTATTAGGAGTAATAGTGAGAGGAGTCACCCTTGTGTCTTGGGCCTGAGAATCCTGGCCATGAGACAGGCAGCACCATATCTTGGTAGCTGAGCATGTACCACATCCTGGAGGACATTTCCTGGGCCCTGCAAAGTATTGCCAGCCAGCCAGCACTATAACTGAGTCTTCAAAACTCCTTTTACTATTGTATTAGGCTATTACTTCAGGGTAATGGGAAACATGGTAAGACAAGTGAATTCTGTGAGCATTAACCCACTGACACACCTCATTTGATGTAAAGTAAAATTATTTTCTGGTCAGAAGCAATCCTTTCAAAATACCATGATGGTAAATGAAGTGCTCTGAAGTCCACGGAATGTGGTCTTGGAAGGCAAATCCATTTCCAAAGTAAGGGTATATTCCAGTAAGAATAAAGATGCCTTTGCACGGTGGAAGCAGTCCAATATAATCAACCTGGCTGCAGGTGGCTGACTCAACTCCCCCACCCCCTCCACACCCTCAGGAAATGGAGAACTAGTGTTGGTATCCGCCGTTGGCAGGTTGGGCACTCAGAAGTGGCTATAGTCATATCAGCTTTAGAGAGTGGAGGTTCATATTGCTAACCCATGAGTAATCGCCATCCCTTCCACCATGGCCACATTGTTCAGGAGTCTATTGAGCAAGGACAAAGGTGACTGTTGAAAGAAGGTAACTGACTTCATGGACTGCATCATCTTATCTACCTGACTATTAACATCTTCTGATGTTCCTCATTGAGGAGCTTCTAAATGGGGC
The DNA here is from genome assembly GCF_000001405.40 of Homo sapiens. Classification (NCBI taxonomy): domain Eukaryota; kingdom Metazoa; phylum Chordata; class Mammalia; order Primates; family Hominidae; genus Homo; species Homo sapiens. Next base: position 51,166,456 of record NC_000001.11, read on the forward strand.
TCAAATTTATCTTCACACTCTGTACCCACTCAGAGAAATTTATCTACATACATCTTCCTCAGATTCCTTGTCACTGATTTTCTTTTTTTATTTTATTTTATTTACTTATTTTTTATTTATTTTTATTTTATTTTATTTTATTTTATTTTTATTTTATTTTTTTGAGACAGAGTCTCACTCCGTCGCCCAGGCTGGAGTGCAATGGCACAATCTCAGCTCACTGCAACCTCCGCCTCCCAGGTTCAAGCAATTCTCCTGCCTCAGCCTCCCAAGTAGCTGGGATTACAGGCGCCCGCCACCACACCCCACTAATTTCTTGTATTTTAGTAGAGACAGGGTTTTGCCACATTGGCCAGGCTGGTCTCAAACTCCTGACCTCAGGTGATCTTCCTGCCTTGGCCTCCCAAAGTGCTGGGATTATAGGCGTGAGCCACTGCGCCCGGCTGTCACTGGTTTTCTAATTGTACTTTTTACAAGTTTCCAACCCTCCAGCCAAACCAATAGCTATTGCCGATGAATCAGTAGAGATCTGTATCTCTGAATATTTATCCTTTCAGGCTATACCAAGTGCACTGCTCAAAGTTATACCTACTTAGAAGATTTTCTTTCACCAATGCCCATCAGGGCCATACCTTAGCAGGACTGTGGTGTTCCAGCTGTGAACTTTCAGAAGATGCTGGCATATCATACAGAACTATCTGTAAACCAAGCTCAAGTATATTCTTCGTCAGTCAACTGGTGACAAGAAACTCTACTTGATGACATTGATATGTGTTGAGAAAGAGAAGGTCATGTAATAGGACCAAGAGCCATGGATCTCTTAACCATTTCCTTGTGCAATTTGTTTATGCCTTCAGAATATGCTCAAAGCCAATTATGTCCCAATTCCACTAATTGACTGAGTGCATATATGCATGCCTAACTTTATGTCTTGATGGATCAGACAACATTCACTTCATGGTAAACAGCTCAACTCATGTAGTAACTTGGTGACCATGGTCATATGTTAAGTTTCTAGTAGTTTAATAGCAAGCCATAAGGATAACAATTATTGGCAGAGGAGAACATAGCTTTGCTTCAAATTCTATAGGCTCTGATTTACCAATAGTGGTCTGTAAAAGTCTCCATTATAGCATCCCTATCTGCTATAGACATTTCAAGAAGCATGGATATGCTGGGTCATATGGCCCACGTGGCAGAACTACTGACATGGCAGCCTGGACCTGTTGCAGAGTGTTCTATTCTTCTGGGCCCCACTCACAACTAGAAGAACTCTTTCGGGTTACTCAGCAAATGAGTCAGAGTAGCACAGTTAAAGAAGTATATGTTACCTCCCATATCCAAAGAAGCCCACTAGACGTTGCGCCTCTTGGTGCCTAAGTGTATGTTGCCTCTAATATCCAAAGCAGCCCACTGAGCATTGTGCCTCTTGGTGGTTGGTGGAGTCAGATGCAGAAACTAGTCTTTCACCTTGGAAGGATATCTGAACATGCTCCAGACCACTCGATGCCTAGTAATTTTACTGAGGCAACACTCTCTTGAATTTTTTGGTATTTATTTCCACCCTTTGGCACACATTATATTATTGACTTGTTTAGAGTAGCTGGTAATTCTTGCTCACCAGTTCCAGTCAGGATGATCTCAAAAATATCCTATGGATCAAGACCCATTTGGACCAGATTATAACATAACGGAGGGTTAGAGAGGTAATACAGCCCTGAGGTAGAACAGTGAAGGTGCAGTGCTGATCCTTCCAGGTGAAATAAAACTACTACTTGTAGTCTATAATAACAGGAAGAGAGAGAAAAGCATTTGCCAGTGGAGTAGCTGGATAACAGATTCAAAAGAATGTGTTTCTTTGCTCCAGCAATGAATCAATGCCTGAAACAGTGGCTGTAGTTGGAAGAACCACATGATTACATTTGCAACAATCTACTTTCATTTTCTAAGATCTATTTTCTCCACAGACCAAATAGGCAAGTTGAAAGAAGATGTGGCAGAAATCACCACCTCTGCATCCCTTAAGCAACACTAATCACTACAATCTATGTGGTATTGCTCTTGGTTTACTATTGTGAAAGGGAAAACCATTCTAGTGGCTTCCATTTGGCATTTGCTACCACAATAACCCTCATTCCACGGGTCAGGGAACCTGTGTGGAGATTTTGCCATTTGCTAAGTACATTTATTTCAAATACACATTCTGGAACTGGAGTAATAACCATGGGCCCACTGAGATGAACCCAAACCAAAACTCCATTAATAACCTGACCTCCATAAGCCTCTGTTTTGACTAGAAGACCACTGTGACATTTTAGGTCTCCAGGAATTATGTCAGTCCACAACCATTATCTAGTAATCCATAAGAAAAATCTAGCTTTTATTTCCCTTAGCCTAATAAACTGTCACTCTGGTAAATGGCTGCAAAGCTTTTGTGGAGAGCCTAGGAGAAAGATTTACAGTGTAAATTTCAAACAGAGAGGCAGGGTCTTTCTTCAAAACCCATTCTTTATCCAAAGGGATCTGGGCCTGTGAACCGGCTCAAATCTGCGAAGTGGTTGAGGAGCCACAATTCTATACTGTGGTAGCTCAAGTCAGACATATTTATCAGAGCTAGAGCTTTTCCTCTTATTCAAGTCAAGTAAGTCTTTAAAGATTAAAGTCTGTCTCCACTGTGGTTGACAACAGCTGAAGCGTCTGCTTGGCTCTTTCAGTTCCCAGCTGTTGTTTTCTCCAGATCCCTTGGATTTTCACCCATGCATGTACAGTTCAAAAGTGAGCCAAGGATTTGAGGGGCATTTATATACAAATTTGGGGCTCTGACATCCACATCTCCCTCCTTTCTAGGATTTTCTCCCTTCCTTAATTTCCAGGCGCTCTGGCAGTTTGAAATTCCTTTTCTAATTCCTCAGGTCAATAAGACTCTAGCTTTCTGCTTTCAGATCTAGCCTCCAGGTATTACAGAAAGTCGGGAATATCCTAAGTGGGAAAGCCTATTAAACATATATCTTAACTAATGTATTATTGTTTCCTTCTTTCAAATGCCAAATCTCCAGCTTCTGCTCTGTTTTAGTGGCCCTTCAGTTCATAATCGTTATCTGCAGGAGAATTTATTCAGTATAAGCAATTATGTCATTACCAGAACTTTCTACTTTTTTTCGGTAGTTTTTCAATTATTTCTCAAGCATATTATTGAGGGCAACTGTCATATGTAATCAGTCTACTATCTTTTTTTTTTTTTTTTTTTGAGATGGAGTTTTGCTCTTGTTGCCCAGGCTGGAGTGCAGTGGCACGATCTCAGCTCACCACAACCTTCTCCTCCTGGGTTCAAATGATTCTCCTGCCTCAGCCACCCAAGTAGCTGGGATTACAGGCATGGGCCACCACGCCTGATCAGCCTACTATCTTGAAAGCAGTGTTCCAGTTTTACAGTCTCTAAAGGCCTCCAACCATTGATCAAACCAATATCTAAAAATTTTACCCTTCTAGGTCCTAGCAAGCAAGAAGGGGTGGTAAATTTATCTAATGGCTGAATTTCAGGCAAAAGAAAATCCATGATGCCCTGTTCTTATTTCAATATTGATTGGCCTCACAGCAGATGTGGAAACTAAGAAAGAGAATTGAAAAGAATGACATATCACCATAATTGTATGATATGTCTTTAAGTTATAGTAGTTTACCTTAAAATGCTATTATAGTATATTTGTATACATTTTGTATACAGTAATGCACCATATAATTTTTCAGTCAACAATGGACCACATATATGACCATGGTCCCATAAGATTACAGTGGAGCTGAAAAATTCCTGTTGCCTAGTGATGTTGTACCCATTATAACATAATAGCACAACATATTGCCTTTTCTATGTTTAAATACATTTAGATACACCAATATTTACCATTGTGTTACAATTTTGTACAGTATGCAGTACATTAACATGCTATACAGTTTTGTAGCTTAGAAGCTATAGGCTATATGCTGTATAGCCTAGGTATGTAGTAGGTTATACCATCTAGGTTTGTGTAAGTACACTCCATGATGTTTGCACAATGATGAAATCACCTAATGACACATTTCTCAAACCATATCCCTGTTGTTAAGCAATGCATGACTGTATCTAGTGCATATAGTACATTGTGTAAGTATCTTACAAGAGTATATGTCATTTCCCCCCACCATTCTTTGTGCTTTGTTGTCATGCATTTTACTGTTACTTTTGTTTAAAACGCCACACTACATCATTATTATTTTTACTTGAAATAGCAAATTATTTTTTAAAAGAATAAAAGCGAGGGCCAGGCGCAGTGGCTCATGCCTGTAATCCCAGCACTTCAGGAGGCCGAGGCAGGCAGATCACTTGAGGCCAGGAGTTCAAGACCAGCCTGGCCAACATAGTGAAATCCTGTTTCTACTAAAAATAAAATAAATAAATAAATAAATAGCTGGCCGTGGTGGTGCACACCTGTAAAAAAAAAAAAAAAGAGAGAGAGAGTGAGTGAGAAATGTATCAGCTTACAATGCTTTGCACAGACAAATGCAAGTTTGAAGATACCTAAGTTAAAATAGTATATATTTCTTTTTTTTTTTTTTTTTGAGACAGAGTCTGGCTCTGTCACCCAGGCTGGAGTGCAGTGGCGCGATCTCCACTCACTGCAAGCTCTGCCTCCCAGGTTCATGCCATTCTCCTGCTTCAGCCTCCCGAGTAGCTGGGACTACAGGCACTCGCCACCACGCCTGGCTAATTTTTTGTATTTTTAGTAGAGACGGAGTTTCACCATGTTAGCCAGGATGGTCTCAATCTCCTGACCTCATGATCTGCCCGCCTCGGCCTCCCAAAGTGCTGGGATTACAGGCGTAAGCCACTGCGCCTGGCCAAAATAGTATATATTTCTTTAAAAATCACTATGTATTAGAACTTGTGGGAAAAGGCAATAACAAAAATAAGAAAAAAATTTTTTTAATCACAGGTACTATTGAAGTATAAACAAGTTTTAGAAAGTACTGGTTATACAGGTTGTAGAAAACACTTTCACAGGACCTGAAATCAGTTTAAGGAAAATATCTGAGCCTTAAGCATTGAAGGCACTTGACTTTATACCAGCAACAGCACAATTACAAGAAATGCAGTGTTGTAGATGATTCCACCTCTCTGAAGTATGAATGGGGTACATACACAGCAAGTAGAGTTCAGGAAACTTTATCTTTCAGCCACCCCATCTAAGAGCAGGATTTTGCCTGCCAGTATAACCCAGATACACAGTCATATGCAGACACATACAACGAAGCTTCCAGAGCTTATCTGACTTCTTAGACAGAACTCACATAAGCACACAAACACAAACTGAAATCATAACAAACAGTCTCTTGGACCACAGTGCAATCAAATTAGAATTTAAGATTAAGAAATTCACTCAATTGGCTGGGTGCGGTGGCTCACACCTGTAATCCCAACACTTTGGGAGGCAGAGGCAGGTGGATCGCCCGAGGTCAGGAGTTCAAGACCAGCCTGGCCAACATGGTGAAACCCCATCTCTACTAATAATACAAAAATTAGTGGGGCATGATGCCACACACCTGTAATCCCAGCTATTCAGAAGCCTGAGGCAGGAGAATCACTTGAATATGGGAAGCGGAGGTTGCAGTGAGCCAAGATCACACCTGAGTGACAAGAGTGAAACTCCGTCTCTGAAAAAAAAAAAAAGAATCCTGAATGACTTTTGGGGTAAATAATGAAATTAAGGCAGAAATCAAAAAGTTCTTTGAAACTAGTGAGAACAAAGATACAATGTACCAGAGCCTCTGGGATGTAGCTAAAGCAGTGTTACAAGGAAAATTTATAGCTCTAAATGGCCACATCAGAAAGCTAGAAAGATCTCAAGTTAACAACCTAACATCACACAAACACAAGAGGGTATTTCAAGACACACACTTGCAAGTGCTCTTTCTACAGAAACAGCCAAAGTATTATAATATTCAGAATGTGGAAGATTGACACAGAGTCTGAGGATTTTGTTTTTTGAGATGGAGTCTTGCTCTGTTGCCCAGGCTGGAGTGCAGTGGCACAACCTTGGCTCACTGCAACCTCCATCTCCCAGGTTCAAGTGATTCTCCTGCCTCAGCCTCCCGAGCAGCTGGAACTACAGGTGTGTGCCACCACGCCCGGCTAATTTTTTGTATTTTTAGTAGAGACGGGGTTTCACCATGTTAGCCAGGATGGTCTCCATCTCCTGACCTTGTGATCTGCCTGCCTCGGCCTCCCAAAGTGCTGGGATTACAGGCGTAAGCCATCGCACCTGGCCAGTCTGAGGATTTTTTAGAGGAAAAAAACAAAAGACTTGGCAATATGATAACTACATAACAGATATGGCAATCTACAGGACAAAAAGACAGCATTTCATAAAACATTGTTCATACAATGCTGTTCATGGAAAACAGTAAAACACCTTTTAGCAGAGTGCGTGTTAACTCTTTTAGTAAGATTATCTGTAATGAGGTTTGAAAGTAAATCACTTAGTAGGCAAAGTAAAGCATTGCAGAACCAGGAAATAGCACCCATCACTTCTGCTTTAATCGTAACTACAGAAAGCTGAAAGTCAAACAATTTTTTAAAAGGCAAAGAAGCATTTCCCTTTGAATTCAGTCCTAAGATAAAAACATGAATGTTTTATAATTAATTTCAAAATAAGTATCTTTCAAGTGTTTTATGAAACATTTTTCCCTGAGAGGCAAATTCAACATTATGAAAACACGTATTTTGCCAGGTAGTTACTGAGAAATGTCAATCCTTCAATTCTATAGAGAAAAAGACACATGGATTTCGTCTCTGAATCCCACAGCCACTTTCATGTTCACTGCTTCTGCTTTACGTTCTGCATCGGTCTCTTAAGGTGGAGATAAAAGTATGATGCTCATTGCTAGAACATCAACAACAAATCAAAAGAAAAATCCAGTAAAGGATGGCAGGTGTAACAAAAACTGAGTTTCTGAGGAAGCAAAAACAAGAATTAGGTAAAGTTTTATAAAGAATTCTATAGAAAGACTTAAATATAAAAAACTCACTAAAAATCCTTAAAGCCTGATGGATTATTGCAATGTCAAGTTAGCTTAGGTCTACAGACATGTTGCTAGAAACGAAACTAAAGGGGGCATGTGAGAATATGTTCAAATAATTTCTGCCTTTCAGGATGTTATTTTTTTCCTTAGAAGCCACAGGTGACTTTGAACTTAAATTATTCACCAAAATCACAAAACCAAAACAATAATATAAGAAAAAGACCAACAGCATCATTAAGAAACTTGAATCTCCTCTTCTTTCTTTAGCATCTAAATGGTAGTTATCTAAATTTAACACATAACAGGCACTGGAAGTGGTGATTGTCTGAACAGCCTGATTATCCATAGCCTCAAAAGGAGATCTGATATTTTTGTGATTTGGTTCTCATTAAATTCCTATACCAAGTAAAATGCCAGTTCCTGTGGCCTATGTTTTAAGATGATAGATAGACAGATAGATAGATAGATAGATAGATAGATAGATAGATAGATAGATATACTTTTATATAAATATAGTTTTTTCTGAGAGCAACCTTACTCAGAATTATGAAGTGTATTTGCAGTAGCTGTTCTAAAATCTGTGTCTGCTAATACCATCATCTCTGTCATTTCTGTCTTTCTTTTGATTGATTTTTTTCCTAGTTAAAGGTCATATTTTTCTGCTTCTCCATTTGCCTGGTAATTTCTTATCTGATACTAGACATTGCGGGATATTTTGGTTTTTTGGTTTTCTTGAGACAGGGTCTCACTCTATCACCCAGGCTGGAGTACAGTGGTGCCATCTTGGTTCACTACAACCTCTGCCTCCCAGGTTTAAGTGATTCTTGTGCCTCAGCCACCCAAGTAGCTGGCATTACAGGTGTGGGCCACCACCCCCAGCTAATGTTTGTATTTTTAGTAGAGATGGGGTTTTGCCATGTTGGCCAGGCTGGTCTTGAACTCCTGGCCTCAAGCGGTCCACCTGCCTCAGCCTCCCAAAGTGCTGGATTACAGGCATGAGCCACTGCGCCTGGCTGACAATGTGGTTTTTACATTGTTGAGTGTATTTGCTTACAACACCAACAAAAATCCATCATTGGCGGATTTTTAAAAATTATTTAAATAATGTTGGACTTTGTCAACATTTTAAGGACATAGAATCAGTGTGATCCTTTTGAGTCTTGCTTTTAAGATTTGTTAGATTGGGGCTGGTCGCGGTAGTTCACGCATGTAATCCCGGCACTTTGGGAGGCCAAGGTAGAAGTATCACTTGAGGTCAGGAGTTCGAGACCAGCCTGACCAACATGGTAAAACCCCATCTCTACTACATATGCAAAAATTAGCCAGGTGTGGTAGCGCGAACCTGTATTCCCAGCTACTCGGGAGGCTGAGGCAGGAGAATTGCTTGAACCCCAGAGGCGGAGGTTGCAGTGAGCCATGACAGTGCCACTGCTCTCCAGCCTGGGCAACAGAGAAAAAAAAATTGTTAGATTGGGTCCAGATCAGCCTTTAATCTAAGCAAAATTTAGCTCCACTACTAAGGTGTTCCCCTTCTGAGGACTCTATCCGATCCACTATATATTATTTTGTCTTCCCACTCCGGCTTTGCACACAAAATATTCCCAGCCCTGGGTAAGCTATCGGAATTGTTTGGCCTGCTGCTTTCCAATATTTAGCTTCAGATAATTTCCTCATACATGTGCACAGATCAGTCCTCAGCCAAAGATTCAGGGAGAATCCTCTGCAGTTCTCCAAAGCTCTTTCTTTTTGCAGTTCCCTCCTCTTTGACAGTCTGCCTCACCAGTACTAGCTGTCTTAGCCTCCCCAAACTCCAGTGATTGTCTCCTCAACTCAACTAGACCACCAGACTCTTTAAATTCCTCTTTCCTTATCTGCCGTGTGGAAACTTCCTCCAGGCAGTAAGTCGGGAACTCAAGGGTTCACTTCATTTACTTCCTGTATCTTAGGGTTGATAGTCCTGCAATGCCTGTTACCCAATGTCCAGAAACATTGCTTCATAATTTTTTCTGGGTTTCTAATTAAGTAGAACAGTCCCTGTTATTGCATGATGGCTGGAAGTGGAAGTTCCTCCTACCTCTGGTTTTGCATTATTCCTCAAATCTATCATTTTCCTTATAAGGTCAGAGTGATATTTCATAAATGCAAATCTAATATTATCATTTCTCACTTAAACCTCCTCAATTGCTTCCACCTGAGACTAAACCCATTCTTAAATTCTAGGTTTCATTCATCCTAAAGGGTTTTTGGAATTCACCAAGCTGTTTCATGCACCTACACCTATTTTACTTTCTACCTTTTTATCCTGTAAAAGACAGCTCTCTGCTCCTTTGTGAAGATTTATGTAACTACTCTCTGCATTCGGGCAGTAAATTTCTTCCTCTTTTGGACCTGTGTTTTACCTCATGCTTAATTCTGTGTTCATCATACAGTATTATAATTATTTGTATATCTATCCCCTCTACTGTTTTATGAGCTCCTTAAAAGTAAGGCTTGTATCTTTTCAATGTTTCTATCCCCAGGATTTAGCACGATGCATAGTACATAGTAGATATATGAATTCAAAATTCATTTGAATTTTCAGAATTCATTTGAGAATTCAGAATTAGTCCAACCATCTCTACCTCCAAAATAGATCCCAGATTTGTTCTCTTCTATCTCATCTGTGTTACCCTAATTCAAGTCATTATTTTATCTTGCCTAGATTACTGTAAGTCTTATAAGTATCTCCCTGCTTTTTCTTCAACAATTCATTCTCTATGCAACGGCCAAAGTAATCTTTTTAAACATAAATCAGATTACCGCAATCTCCTCAAAACCTTCCAATGCCTCCCTATTGTACTAAAATTCCAGTCTGGGAGCCATGGCTCACACCTGTAACCCCAAAACTCTGGGAGGCCGAGGTGGGGGATTGCTTGAGGCCAGGAATTCAAGCTCATCCTGAGCCACATAGTGAAACCCCATCAATACAAAAAATAAAAAAATTAGTTGGGTATGGTTGCCTGCACCTATAGTCCCAGCTACTCAGGAGACTGAGGCAGGAGATCACTTGAGCCTAAGGGGTCAAGGCTGCAATAAGCTATGATTGTGCCACTGCACTCCAGCCTGGGAGACAGAGCAAGACCCTGTCTGTAAAAATAAAATAAGTAAATAAATTTCAAATCCTTCATTATATCCTGTACAGTTTTGTATGCAGCAAGTCTTTCCTGCCTCATTAATTTCATTTCAAACCCTTCTCCCCCGTAACTCGATACATTCCAGCCACACGTTATGGTTTTTTGTTTATTTGTTTGTTTTTGAGATGGAATTTCGCTCTTGTTGCCCAGGCTGGAGTGCAATGGCGCAATCTCAGCTCACCACAACCTCTGCCTCCCGTGTTCAAGCAATTCTCCTGCCTCAGCCTCCCGAGTAGCTGGGATTACAGGCATGCACCACCACTCCTGGCTAATTTTGTATTTTTAGTAGAGACAGGGGTTTCTCCATATTGGTCAGGCTGGCCTCAAACTCCTGACCTCAGGTGATCCTCCCACCTCAGCCTCTCAAAGTGCTAGGATTACAGGCATGAGCCACCGCACCCAGCCGGCTGTTACGTTTCTTAAACATACCACACTTAATTCTGCCTTAAGTCTTTGTATTTCTTCCTTCTGGCTGTAAGGGTCTATTTCCAAATTTGGGCATGGCTGACTCTTAAATATTATTCAGATTTCATCTCTAATATCACTTCCTTAGAAGGGCCTTAATGGGCCTACAGGTAGAGTAGAACCCCAGAAGGGGAAAAAGAACCCTGTGGTGTGGAATAGAATTGGAATTAGAGGTATAATTATGTATGTATGTATGTATGTATATGCATAGTGTGTGTTAATTTACACTGATACCTCTAACATCATATATTCATACTATGTATATTCATATTGACAACTCATCCCAGTGGCAATGAACACAGTTAATACCCAGATCTTGGTGTCTAAAAACTATTTCCCACTCAAAGGAACAACACTCCTTGGAAAAATGGCTGATTTCAGGGCCAGGTCAAAGAAAATATGAAGTGATTCTGGAACATTTTCTTGTGCCTAAAGTAAAGCAGTGCTTATAAATTGATGACACCATGCCAAGAGGACATCTAAGCCAGCTTGAAGGGGCTTCCCTGGTCAAATTAGGAAATATTTGAAATTAAAATGAATGACTACATTTATGTAACAGATTATAATATATTGAATAAAAAATAATCCAGCCAGGTGTGGTGGCTCATGCATGTAATCCCAACACTTTGGGAGGCTGAGGCAGGAGGATCACTTGAGCCCAGGAGTTCAAGGCTGTAGTGAGCTATGAGTGAGCCACTGTGCTCCAGCCTGGGTGACAGAGTGAGACCCTGACTCAAAAAAAAAAAAAATCCGTGGGCCCATACTGATAGTGAGAGGTGAAGCCTGCTGGGCTTCTGGGTCGGGTGGGGGCTAGGAGACCTTTTCTGTCTAGCTAAAGGATTGTAAATGCACCAATCAGCACTCTGTGTCTAGCTAAAGGTTTGTAAATGCACCAATCAGCGCTCTGTGTCTAGCTAATCAGGTGGGGACTTGGAGAACTTTTGTGTCTAGCTAAAGGATTGTAAACGCACCAGTCAGCACTCTGTGTCTAACTGAAGGTTTGTAAATGCACCAATCAGCACTCTGTCAAAACAGACCAATCAGCTCTCTGTAAAACGGACCAATCAGCTCTCTGTAAAATGGACCAATCAGCAGGATCTGGGTGCGGCCAATTAAGGGACTAAAAGCAGGCCACCGGAGCCAGCAGGCAATCTCTCAGAACCCTTTTTATACTGTGGAAGCTTTGTTCTTTCGCTCTTCACAATAAATCTTGCTGCTGCTCACTCTTTGGGTCCAGGCCGCCTTTAAGAGCTGTAACACTCACCAGAAAGGTCTGCAGCTCCGCTCCTGAAGTCAGTGAGACCACGAACCCACCAGAAGGAAGAGACTCTGCACACGTCCGAACATCAGAAGGAACAAACTCAGGACACGCTATCTTTAAGAATTGTAATACTCACCGTGAGGGTCCATGGCTTCATTCTTGAAGTCAGCGAGACCAAGAACCCACCAATTCCGGACACAATAGCAACCATCACCGTGAACAATTTTAGAACATTTTCATCACCACAAAAAGAAATCTCATACCCATTAGCAATCACTCCCCGTTTCTCCCCCAGTCTCTGCAACCATCAGGCCCAGACAACCACTAATGTACTTTCTGTCTCTCTAGATTTACGTATTCTGGATATCTCATATATATGGAATTACACATATGTGGTCTTCTGGGGCTGGCTTTCTTCACTTAGGTTGTTTTCAAGTTTCCTCCGTGTTACAGCATGTATCAGGACTTCATTCTTTTTATTGGTGAATGAATATTCTATTGTACAAACATACCAAATTCTGCTTATCCGTTCATCAGCTGATGAACATTAAGGTTGGGACTAAGTTTTAATGTAAGTTGTTTACCGACACAAGATAGCAAACTAAGTTACTTGTGTACTATATCCTGAGATGTTACCGACTCTGAAAAGAGTCACAGAAAAGAAAAGGTGGAAAATAGGCTGAATATGTAAAAAGTATTCATCTCAGCCAAAGCTACAGCCCAGTTATTTAAGCTATAGAGTTAGGCATTAGCAATGACATGATGAGCCATATTGAAATCTAAGATAAAGGGGAAAATATACATGTTTTCATGTATTTTTAGTGGTTAATTTTTTCGTAAGTAAATCATGAGTATTTTTAAAAATTAACAGATTTTTAAAATACTAATGAATTTGTTTCTATTAAAACCAGAAAAGTAGGACAGGCATGATAGCTTACACCTGTAATCCCAGCAATTTGGGAGGCTGAGGCAGGAGGATCGCTTGAGCCCAGGAGATTGAAATCTGCCTGGGCGGCATAGTGAGACCATGTCTCTACAAAAAAATAGAAAAAAATTAGCTGGGCATGGTGGTACACACCTTTAGTCCCAGCTACTCAGGAAGCCAAAGTGGAAGGATAGATAGCCTGAGCCCAGGAGGTCGAGGCTGCAGTGAGCCATGATCATGCCACTGCACTCCAGTCTGGGCAAAGAGCAAGACCGTGTCTCAAAAAAACAAAAACACAGGCCGGGGCAGTGGCTCAAGCCCGTAATCCCAGCACTTTGGGAGACCAAGGTGGGTGGATCACCTGAGATCAGGAAAAGACCAGCCTGGCCAATGTGGCGAAACCCCATCTCTACTGAAAATACAAAAATTAGCCGGGTGTAGTGGCAGGCGCCAGTAATCCCAGTTACTCAGGAGACAGGTAGGAGAATTGCTTGAAGGCAGGAGGCAGAGGTTGCAGTGAGCTGAGATCGCACCACTGCACTCTGGCCTGGGCAATAGAGTGAGACTCCATCTCAAAAAAACAAAAACAAAAAAAACAAAACAGAAACCCGAACACATAAAGTTATACTAAATTCTGGTCTGTGTATATACAAAATATTTAAACCTGAAATAATGTGAGTTTTAAAACAGCTACTTTTCAGTATTTTTCAACCACTTTAATGTTCTGAGAAATAAATAACCAGCATATACTAGCTGCATAAAATTAGTTAAGGAGTCCTCTCTATTTCTAATCTCAGAAACAGCAAGGTTATCTGTACCTTAGAAAATGTGCTAAAACTCACTTTGGTACATTTTTGTGAGCAGACTTTTAAAATTACTGATGCTTTTTGCTTGTTTGTTTTGTTTTGTTTTGTTTTGTTTTGTTTGAGAAGTGGTCTTGCTTATGTTGCTCAGGCCGGTTTCAAACACCTGGGCTCAAGCAATCCTCTCACCTCAGTTTCCCAAGTAGCTGGGATTATAGATTTGAGCCACAGCACCTAGCTTGATTCTTTTTTTTTTTTTTTTTTTTTTTTGACAGGATCTCACTCTTTCATCCAGGATGGAGCACAGTGAGGTGATCATGGCTCACTGCAGCCTTGACCTCCTGCACTCAAGTGATCCTCTCACCTCAGCCTCCTGAGTACTGGGACTAGAGGTTCACACCACCATACCTGACTAATTTTTTTTTAATAAAAATAGGATCTTGCTATGTTGACCAAGCTGGTCTCAGCCTCCAAAAGGGCTGGGATTATAGGCGTGAGCCCCTGAACTCAGCTCAATTCAATTTGTTATCATTATGGTATTAGCCAGGTTTCCAATGTCTTCTTGAGTTAATCCTGTTGACTTATACTTTTCTAAGTAATTACCCATTTTCATGTAAGCTTTCAAATTTACTGGCATAAAGTTATAGTTACTCTCTTATGATTTTTCATCTCAGCTGGGCATGGTGGCTCACGCCTGTAATCCCAGCACTTTGGGAGGCAAAGGTGGGCAGATCACCTGAGGTCAGGAGTTCGAGACCAGCCTGGCCAACATCGTGAAACCCCATCTCTACTAAAAATACAAAAATTAGCAGGGCATGGTGGTGGGTGCCTGTAATCCCATCTACTTGGGAGGCTGAGGCAGGAGAATCGCTTGAACCCAGGAGGCAGGCAGAGGTTGCAGGGAACCAAGATCACACCACTGCGCTCCAGCAGCCTGGGCAACAAAAGTGAGACTCCATCTCAAAAAAAAAAAAAAAAGGATTTTTCATCTCTGCTATACAGGTAGTTGTTGCTCATTTTTAATTCTTATGTATTTGTACCTTTGCTTCTTTTCCCTAAAATGATCTTAACAGGATTTATTTCACTATATTTTTTCATAGAGCCAGCTTTCAGTTTATTGATGCCCTTAAATGTTTGCTTCCACTGCAGGACATTGTTCTAGGCAAAGATTTTATGGCTAGGACCCCAAAAGCACAAGTAACAAAAAAAAAAATAGACAAATGGGGCAATATTAAACTAGAAACATTCTGCATAGCAAAGGAAACAATCAACAGAGTGAACAGATAAACTGTTGAATAGGGGAAAACATTTTCAAAACTATTCATATCCAGAATACACAAGGAACCCAAACAACTCAACAGTAAAAAATAAACAAACCAACCCACCCCATAAATAATTCCATTAAAAAGTAGGCAAAGGATCTGAATAGACATTTCTCAAAGGAGGACATATAAATGGCAAACAGGTATATGAAAAAATGCTCAACATCACTGATCATCAGAGAAATTCAAATCAAAATCACAATGACATATTATCTTACCCTAGTTAGAACGACTATTATCAAAAAGACAAAAAATAACAGATGCTGGTAAGGATACTGAGAAATGAAAATTCGTATACACTGTTGGTGGGAAAGTAAATTAGTATAGCCATTTTGGAAAAAAATTATGGAGATTTCTCAGAAAAACAGAAATAGAACTACCATATGACCCAGCAATCCCACTACTGGGTATTTAACCAAAGGAAAGCAAATCAGTACGTTACAGAGATACCCGTACCCATATGTTTATTCCAGCACTATTCACAATAGTTAAGACATGGAATGTCCAATCTAAATCCATCATGGGCTGGGTGCAGTGGCATACCCCTGTAACACCAGCACTTTGGGAGGCTGAGGTGGGTGGATCACCTGAGGTCAGGAGTTTGAGACCAGCCTGGCCAACATGGTGAAACCCTGTCTCTACTAAAAATGCTAAAAAAAAAAATTAGCTGGGCATGGTGGCAGGCGCCTGTAATCACAGCTACTGGGGAGGCTGAGGCAGGAGAATGGCTTGAATCTGGGAGGCGGAGGTTGAAGTGAGCCGAGATCGCACCACTGTACTCCAGCCTGGGCGACAGAGCGAGATTCTCTCAAAAAAAAAAAAAAGTCATGAATAAATGGATAAAGAAAATGTGGTATATATACATAATGGAATACTATTCATTCATACAAAATAATGAAATATGGCCAGGCGCGGTGGCTCACACCTGTAATCCCAGCACTTCGGGAGGCTGAAGTGAGCGGATCACCTGAGGTCAGGAGTTCAAGACCAGCCTGGCCAACATGGCAAAACCTCATATCTACTAAAAATACAAAAATTAGCCAGGTGTGATGGCACACGACTGTAGTCCTAGCTACTCAGGAGGCTAAGATGGGAGAATCGCTTGAACTTAGGAAGCAGAGGCTGCAGTGAGCCAAGATTGTGCCACTGCACTTCAGCCTGGGCAACAGAGCAAGACTCTGCTGCAAAAAAAAAAAAAAAAAAAAAAAGAATGAAATGGCCGGGCACAGTAACTCACACCTGTAGTCCCAGGTACTCAGGAGGCTGAAGTAGGAGGATCACTTGAGCCCAGAAGTTTGAGACCAGCCTGGGCAACATAGCAAGACCCAGTCTCTACTTTTTAAAAAAATTCAATCTTTTTTTCATGTTAATGAGGAACAGTATTTTTAAACTTTTAATAATATTGCAAATAACAGAAAGCAAAATATTAAAATATTCTTTTAAAAGGCACTTCAATCAAAGTGTTCTTTTAATCAGAGACCAGGTCAATCTTCCTCAGGGGTGGGAAAAAAACAGAGGAATTAGATGAAAGTACTCTTTGATTTATCTGAAAAGGATTTAAGCATTTTTAATTTCCATATGCTTTTACAGCCTTTTGATTCATTTAGTTTTAAGTTTTTGGCATAGTTGAAACTTTCATTGTGGCTCCTGATCAGAGGTATATGCCTACATTAATAGGATAAAGGAAGATGTGTTAAAGAACTACCACACCAATTTTCTATTTTGAATAATTTTTAAGAAGGCGAATGAGGCTTTTTTCTTTATTCGACAACTTTTAGAAAGAAATTTTGCATTTTGTTTTATTTTTCAAAGGTTTAAAATAGCAACTTGGATGGAAAGTTTGAATTATGTAATAAACAATGCCAGGTTTTCAGAGCCTGAAGCAAAAGCCAGCTGCTGGGACCTAGGGAAGAAGGGACAACAGTATTCCTCAAATACAGAGAGGGATCGGCTACTGTTGGATCTTCTAAGATCTTTATTGACCCAGAGAGTCTGTCACTGTCCTCAGTCACAAAAACTAAAACATATGCTCCTTTCATTTTGGCACTCTCCACTGCCTCCAGTGAGAACTTCCAGGACTATCCTTTCTGTGTATTTGGGGAAGGGGAAGGGAGGAGTTTGTCAGGGGATTGGGAGACAAAGCAGGTTACTCTCATCTAGCTTCTCCTAGTGTGTTGCTACAGTGAGGGCTTTTCTGGAGCGGGAGACAGAAAATCCCCCTTCTCAACTGAGGAGCAATACGGGTATAGTAAATATGTTTGTGTGACTGCCCTGTCCTAGCCTCCTTCTTTGAAATCACCCCCCAGCAACAACCCATACAGTAGGGGCTTGGTGGCCATAACTGTACTAGGAGATGACATCGTTTTGACTATAGCAGACTGGATGGGGGTTTACACCTGCTCCAAGTTGAGTTAAATTATTTTTCTCTTACAAATTTGGATTTTTTTTTTTTTTTTTGAGATAGAGTCTTGGTCTATCATCCAGACTGGAGTGTAGTGGTGCAATCTTGGCTCACTGCAGCCCAACTCCTGGGCTCAAGTGATCCTCCTGCCTCAGCCCCAAGAAGCTGGGACTACAGGTGTGTGTCACCACACTCAGCTAATTTTTTTTTTTTCTGTAGAGATGAGGTTTCGCCATATTGCCCAGGCTGGTCTCAGACTTGTGGGCTCAAGCAGTACTCCTGCCTTGGCCTCTGAAAGTGCTGGGATAACAGGTGTATGCCACTGTGCCTGGGCTAAATTTGGAATTTTAATCTTCTGCTTCTAAGGCTGAGAAAAAAGAAGAAAAAACAATAATAAAAGAAAAAAATTGGAATTGATATTTAGAGATGATAGGATTTAACTGGGAAAACCAGAAGTTGTCTGAATGAATTCCAAATACGAGGGTTGCTAAGCTTTTACAGAACGTCTACGTGATGATGGTGAAGGTAGGGAAGGGTCAGCGCCACTTAAGGCCAGGCATTTGGAGTTTGAATTCCACCTCTGCCACTTACTCAACCTGTAACATTGGGCACATTACTTAATCTTCCCCAAGGTTAAATTTCCAAATAAGAAAAATGCAGTTAAGAGTGCTTGCCTTGCAGCTTCGGTATGAGTATTAAGTAAGATAAATGATGTAAGATAGTTATCATAATTACTGAAATATAATAGATATTCAATAAATATCAACACCATGGCCAGGCATGGGTGGCTCATGCGTGCAATCCTAGCACTTCAGGAGGCTGAGGTGGGAGGATTGCTTGAGGCCAGAAGTTCAAGACCAACCTGGCTAACATAGTGAAACCCTGTCTCTATTTTTTTGAATAAAAATACAAAAAAATTTTAATCAATACCTTATTGCTAGAAAATTTATCCACAAGTTTCCACTTCAAAAATTCTGCAAGTGTAAACATCTGTTTGAGGCCAGGCACAGCAGCCCACGTCTATAATCCCAGCAGTTTGGGAAGCCGAGGTGGGCAGATCACCTGAGGTCAGGAGTTTGAGACCAGCCTGGCCAACATGGCGAAATCTCGTCTCTACTAAAAATACCAAAAATTAGCCAGGTGTGGTGGCACATGCCTGTGACCCCAGCTACTCGGGAGGCTGAGGCAGGAGAATCACTTGAACCCAGGAGGCAGAGGTTGCAGTGAGCCAAGATGGCACCATTGCACTCCAGCCTGGGCAACAAGAGAGAAACTCAGTCTCAAAAAAAAAAAAAAAAAGAAAAGAAAAAGAAGTCTGTTTGATTTGACTTAGAATTAACGATATCTTGACTTTAATGATAATTTGACTTTGAGCAACATTGTCTAGACCATGTTTTCAAAGGCAGTGACCCATTAGTCTGTTGTGAAATGAATGTGGTTGGTCATGGGCAATATTTTTGTAAATAAATATTTTGAGTAACATAGCATCTATCAACGCTACATTAGCATCCTGATATTTTGGTTGATCTGAGAGGTTTTGATGTATTTGACATCCTGTTTACAAAAGACAACTATAATTTACCTAACTGTAAGGCAGGAATTCCCAACCACTATGCCTCAAGGATTTTACAAAGTTTCCCATACGTCCTCCACCAGCTCTCAGAAAGTTAAGAGAAGCTGCCTATATTTACCCGGTGTGTTAGTTTGGGAAGCACTGCCAAAGGAAGGAGATGGTTAAAATTTTTGTAATTAACACTGTATAGAGTGTAGAGTTTAAAACATTTTTGCCATTAATAGTCAAATGTGGATTAGAATTAATATACCCTAAAGCCTCCTACTCAAAATGTGTTCCTCAGACCAGAAGCACCAACATCATCTGGAAGTTTGTTGGAAATGCAGAATTTCAGGCCCCTCCAGACCTACATTAAAGTTTGAGGCCAGCGCGGTGGCTCACGCCTGTAATCCTGGCACTTTGGGAGGCTGAAGTGGGTGGATCACGAGGTTAGGAGATCGAGACCATCCTGGCTAATACGGTGAAACCCCGTATCTACTGAAAATACAAAACATTAGCCAGGCATGGTGGCAGGCACCTGTAGTCGCAGCTGCTCAGGAGGCTGAGGCAAGGGAATGGCGTGAACGCGGGAGGCGGAGCTTGCAGTGAGCCGAGATTGTGCCACTGCACTCCAGCCTGGGTGACAGAGCAAGACTCCATCTCAAAAAAAAAAAAAAAAAGTTTGAATACCATTGTACTGAAGGAAACATACAGTCAGTTACTTAACTTATTTTTTCATTTTCTTTCTTTCTTTCTTTTTTTTTTTTCTTTTTTGAGACAGGGTCTCACCATTTTGCCCAAGCTGGTCTCAAACTCCTGGGCTCAAGCAATCCTCCTGCTTCGGCCTCCCAAAGCATTGAGATTACAGGCGTGAGTCACAGCACCCAGCCAAGTGACTTAACTTTTGTTAACAACTTCATGCAAAGATAATAATTTTCTGAAAAATAATTATTTAAAATATACCCACTGCTGGCCGGGCATGGTGGCTCACACCTGTAATCCCAGCACTTTGGGAGGCTGAGGCGGACAGCTTACTTGAGGTCAGGAGTTCAAGAGCAGCCTGGCCAACATGGCAAAAACTGCTCTCTACTAAAAATACAAAAATCAGCCGGGCATGGTGGAGCATGCCTGTAGTCTACTCAAGAGGCTGAGGCAGGAGAATCACTTGAACCCAGGAGGTGGAGGTTGCAGTGAACTGAGATCACACCACTGCACTCCAGCCTGGGTGACAGAGCAAGACTTTATCTCAAAAACATAAAATAAAATAAGGCCGGGTGTGGTGGTTAACGCCCGTAATCCCAGCACTTTGGGAGGCAGAGGCGGGTGGATCACTTCAGGTCTGGAGCTCGAGACCAGCCTAGCCAATATGGTGAAACCTCATCTGTACCAAAAATATAAAAACATTAGCCGGGTGTGGTGGTGCATGCCTGTAATCCCAGATATTCGGGAGGCTAAGGCAGGATAATCGCTTGAACCCGGGAGGTGGAGGTTTCAGTGAGCCAAGATCGTGCCACTGCACTCCAGCCTAGGCAACAGAGTGAGACTCTGTCTCAAAATTAATTAATTAATTAATTAATTAAAATACAAATACAAAAATTAGCCAGGCATGGTGGTGTGTGCCTGTAATCCCAGCTACTTGGGAGGCTGAGGGAAGAGAATCACTTGAACTTGGGAGGCAGAGGTTGCAGTGAGCCAAGATCCCACCACTGTACTCCAGCCTGCATGACAAAGTGAGACTCTGTCTCAAAAAATAAATAAATAAATGAAGTATACCCACTGCCACATCAGCATAAAGATTAGTGTTTTGTATCTCTTGCTGACTGCCTATAAAATCATGCAATCATTGTAGAGAGTTTTGAAAATGCAGAAAGTGGGAAAAACTATCCATAACTTAAAAGTTCACAATTGCATTCACTTTTCTTCTCTTAAACATAAAAATATACATATTTACAAAATTGGGATTATGGCATATATAAGATTTATATCTTACTTTTTACTTATGTATCATGACTATTTTCAGCAGTGCTTTTTAAAAAAAATTAGAATGGTGACTATTTAAGATTTCCTGAGTATAAAGTAAAATGATGAGTGAAGGCAGGCAATAAATGTGACATCCAGTTATAAAACATCAGAGTTGGGCTGGATGTGGTGGCTCAGACCTGTAATCCTAGCACTTTGGGAGGCCAGGGCAGGAAGATTGCTTGAGCCCAGGAGTTCAAGACCAGCCTAGGCAATGGAGCAAGACCCCATCTGTAAAAATAATTAAAAGGCCAGGTGTGGTGGTTCATGCCTGTAATCCCAGCACTTTGGGAGGCCAAGGCAGGAGGATCACTTGAGGCCAGGAGTTCAAGGCTGAAGTGAGCTATGATCCTGCCACTGAACTCCAGTTGGGTGACAGAGTGAGATCTTGTCTTTAAAAAGAAAGGGGACTGGGTGCAGTGGCTCATGCTTGCAGTCAGGAGTTTGAGACTAGCCTGGCCAACGTGGTGAAACCTCGTCTCTACCAAAAATACAAAAATGAGCCAGGCAGTGTGGTGGTAGGTGCCTGTAATCCTAGCTACTCAGGGGGCTGAGGCAGGAGAATCGCTTGAACCCAGGAGGCAGGGGTTGCAGTGAGCCGAGATCATGCCACTGCACCCCAACCTGGGTGACAGAGCAAGACTTTGTCTCAAAATATAAAAAATAATTTTTTTAAAAAATTAGCCAAACGTGGTGTTACTGCACCTATAGTCCTAGCTACTCAGGAGGCTGAAGCGGGAGGATCACTTGAGCCCAGGAGACTGAAGTTGCAGTGAGCTATAATCACAGCTCTGCACTCCAGCCTAGGTGACAGAGTGAGAATATCTCCCTAAGAAATAATAATAATAATAATTAATAAATAAAATAAAATATCAGAGTTGAAATAGGCCTTAGACATTATCTTGTTTAAAATTTTTGGTTATAGTTGGACAGACTTAAGCCCAGGAAGCAAAACTGACTCATCAAAGATAATTTGCTTAGGTAAACAAATTTATTGATTGAACTATTATTATGTATCAGAATCTGTGGTAGGGTGACCAGTTGTCCTGGTTTGCCTGGAACTGAGGAGTTCCAGGGACATGAGATTTTCAATGCTAAAACTGGAACAGTCAGGGTAATCACTCTATGGTTCTCCCTGTGTACATGTTAATAAATTTGTATGAGCTGGGCACAGTGGCTTATGCCTGTAATCCCAGCACTTTGGGAGGTCAAGGCAGGTGGATCACTTGAGCTGAGTCCGAGACAAGCCTGAGCAACATAGAAAAACCTCGTCTCTACAAAAAAAAAAAAAAAGAATAAATGTGTTTGCCTTTTTTCCAAAAAACAAAACTAAAAAACAAAAAATAGCCTGGGGTCTGGTGGTGTGTGCCCATAATCCCAGCTACTCAGGAGGGTGAGGCAGAAGGACTGCTTGAGCCCAGCCCTGGGCAACATAGCAAGACCCCATCTCAAAAAAACAAAACAAAACTGGAATAATCCCAAGCAAACCTGGACAGTTGGTTGCTCTATTACTAGGCCCTGGAGACAGAACAACTTATGAGATATGACTTCTGCTCTCAAGTCGGAGAGACATGTGAGCAAATCATTACAATATGATATGTACCAAAAGAGCTCCCACACTGTAAGTGAGGCAAGATTTCTGAGGTCCTGAAACCTCTAGGACAAGAAGGGAGTTAAGCAGATTAAAGCCAGAGTAGGAATGGGGCCATTTGGAAAGCATCGAGTCTGAACCATCAGTACAGTAAAAGACACAGTAGTAAAAAATAATAGCTAAGAATTTACTGATAATTTAGCTATGCGCCAGGCATTATGCTATATATTATCTGCTTTAATCTTTACAACCCCATAAGGTTGGATTTGTCATATGAGTGATGAAGACACCATTGGAGAGTTTTAAGCAGAAGAGTAATATAATTGTGTGCTTTAAAGATAAATGATCACTATGGCAGTATGTAAAGAGCTTTTAAAAAATCCAATACACGTACACACTCTTTTGAAATATCTGTAATCCCCCAAACCCAGTTTCATAAAAGAGATTCCAGATTCACAATACAGTTTAAAACCAAATTGTTTAACATCTTAACTCCTCTATTCTTTTTATTTTTTCTGTTCTTCCATTGGCTTTCTACCAATGTACAAACTCTGTAAGGAAGTTATTAGGTTCTATGGCAAGGGCTCCCTCTGTTGGTTGTGCAGCAACACAACAGCAACTATTTGACATCCAGCAGAAACAATTGCTTTAGGTTTTTACAGTAATCCTTTTTTAAAGAAAATCAGAGATCTTTCCTCTAAATTTCAATAATTTGTGAAATATGGAAACAAATATAAGACCCAGTTATTCAGTCTTTGAAGTTTAAACCAAAGAAAAATTTTCTTACTTGCAGTCACCATTTTCACTGGCATCATTCCATGTCTTCATCAAAGAGCCATTTACATTCATTAAACTGGACAGCTATTTGAATTTCATAATAGAATTATCCAGACCTTCATTTCCTATTATGCCCATAGTCATACAAATGAACTTTGTTATCACTTATCAGTAATAATCACTCATTGAGAATGTCATTTCTATACAGCTCCCAGATCGCCTAAGCCCATGACAGATTGGCTCCCAATTCCTCCAAATGAATGCCTGGCAGCGGCTGCAATAAAAGCTCCACCATGTAGGACTAACCCCTTCAGGCTGTAGACAGAATAATTTGCTCATTCAACCAAGATCCACTTCTACTTGCTCCAAACCAATTCTGCTCTTGGGAGACAGTTTAATAACGTAGACACTAAACTCAAGAACCCCCTGGTGTAGTGTGGAAGATATTTAACATTTGAAGCATGGCTCCAACTTGAAGCAGACTACAATAAATGTCATTAACATAGTACAATGCGCCATAAAAGCAGAAGGAAATAGCAAGTATGATTGAGAGACTTCAGGCAGACATCTTGGAGAAGGTACTATCTGGCTTGAACAGGACAAAAGATCCATGGTGTCAGGAATGTTTGTTTTGTCCATCACTGTATCCTAAGTTCCTGTAACTTTCATTGGCACATGGTAAGTGCTTAGTAAATAGTTACTGAATGAATGAGTAGATTTTTGAAATCAATAGGAATTTTACTTACAGGAAAAGGCAGAGAAAAAGAATTTCCCTTTTGAAAATGCTTATCCTCAAAACCTAAACAAACCTTTTGTTTGTTTAGCCTGCCAAAACCCTTCCCTTGGCTCTCTAATTTCTTCAGGATGAAATACTGTCCCTGTCTGCCAGGCATGGTAGCTCATGCCTATAATCCCAGCACTTTGGGAGGCTGAGGGAGGAGAATCACTTGGGGCCAGGAGGTCACCAACGTGGGCAACATAGCAAGACCATGTCTCTATATATTTTTATTATTATTATTAACAGAGTGTGGTGGCACACACCTCTAGTCCCAGCTACTCAGGCGGCTGAGGTGGAAGGATAGCTTGAGCCCAGGAGTTTGAGGCTACAGTGAGTTGTGATGGAGCCACAGCACTCCGGCCTGGACAACCTGGTCTCAAAAAAAACAAAAAGAAAAGAAAAGAAAAAAAGAGCCCACGTATTTTCCCTTTATCTGCCTTTTTCACCATTAGCTTCATCTTCAGGCTGGTAACAGGATGGCTACAGAGGTTTCAAGCATCACAAAATCCAGAGGAAGAAGAGGAACTTCTTCTTTCTGTAGAATAAGGAAGTATTTTCCAGAAGCTCCCCACAATACTTTCCCTTGTCCACTTGGCCATCCCTAAATCACTCACTAGCAAGGGGGATGATGTTCCCATAAATAGTTTGGCTGATCATCTAAGGTAGAGTGGAAGTTGGTGACCTTTTATGTTAGTTACTGCAGTAAGGTCTTGCTGTAACTCCTCAGCCCCCAGAATTGGATACCTTATGTCTCTGTGTATCTGCTTTTGTGACCCTGCCCTGAAACTCACTACCATGTTCATACCCTAGACCTTGTCCCTACCAATAAATGTGTCTCTCCATAATTTCAATTTCAGGGATCCCACCCTCTGACTTTCTATATTTCCAGCTCACTTTTTTAATATCAACTCCAACAATCTTCCAATCCCACAGGGACCTATATGCCACTGATGATCTTACCACATTCCTTTTCACAATCTTCCATCCCCTACACAAATTCTTCTATATCCAGCTTAAATATCATGGTCAATCATTATAATCACTCTCTTGCATATCCCCTGGACTCCCTTGCTCCCTTCACTTCATGGTACTCTCTTGGCAAATCTGCAGTTCTGCTTGTATCCAACTCTCTGCTTACTCAGTACCTGGACCAAGACCTGGAGTAGGACTGGAGAAAAATACATACCAATGTTAATTAGTCTTACTCTACGCTTAATGTCTTTACTGCTGAATAGTAAAGCTGCTTAGCAATTACAACGTATTTCTCCAGTCCATTTTATGTTTCATTCTCTGAGATGACCTCCATGAGATCTCCTGTCTCCTAAAACTTTCAATACCTCCTTTTGATTTTTTTGTTTTTTCCTGCAAATGCTATGGTGACTTACCTTCTTTTCAGTGCTTGTTTTCCAGCTGCTTACTTTGCTTATTTTACCGAGAAAACACAGGCAACTAGAGGGGAATTTCCATATGTTCCCATCACCCCCATCTAACTCCTAGCTACATCAGTGCTCACACCTCTGCTTTCTCTGTTAATGTGGATGCAGTCTGTGATCTAGCAGACCCATTCTTATTATGCAGTAGATTCCATCCCTTCCCATCAACTCAAAGAAATTTCCCCCAGCAATTCTTCCATTCTATATTCTGCATCACCAATATTTTTTATTTTATTTATTTATTTATTTATTTATTTATTACTAGATCAGGAATAATTTTGCCATCCCCCTTCCACAAGAGACATTTGGCAATTTCTGGAGACTCTTGTGGTTATCACAACCCAGGAAAGAAGCAGGGCGCACTACTGGCCTCTAGTGGACAGAATGCTAAGAAGCTTTCTAAACATCTTACAATGCAGAGGATGGCCCTTCTTAACAAAGAATTATTCTGCCTAAAATGTCAGTCCCAAATTGAGAAACCCTGTACTAGGCCATTCCTATAAGCACATAAACACACACACACAAGTGCTATTATTTCTCCCATTTTAAAAATCACCCTCCCGTGACTCCACATACCCTTCCAATTTCAATCCTATTTCCTGCTCCCGTTTACTGAAAAGTCCTCAAAAGTCTTATCTAATCTCACTGTGTCCACTTCCTTTCCTCTAAGTCTCACTTAGACTTTCCCAATCTGGCTGTGACCCAATATCCCATTGGAATTGCTTTTGTCAAGACCACAAATGGCCTCCATGTTGTTAAGTCCCAGGGTCAATTCTCAGCAGCACATGATTGAATTGATTACTCCCTTTACCTAGAAGTGCCTCCTTCATTTGACTGCTAGAATCTACCCTCTCCTTGTTTTCTTTCTATTCTTTTTTTTAGGTTCATGCTAATTACTTTTTTTACTTTTTTATTAATACATGATAATTGTACATATTTGTGTGGTACATGTCATACTTTGATACATGCATACAATGTGTAATGATCAAATCAGGGTATTTAGGATATGCATCACCTCAAATATTTATCATTTATTTTTGTCCAGAACGTTTCAAATCTTCTCTTCTAGCTATTTGGAAATATACAGCACATTGGTGTTAACTATATTCACCCTACTGTGCTGCCAAACTCTAGAACTTATTCCTTCTATCTAACCATATGTTTGTACCCGTTAACAAATCTCTCGGCATCCTCCTACCCCCACCCAGCCTCTGGTAACTATCATTCCACTCTCCACCTCTATGAGATCAACATTTTACAGCTCTCACATATGAGTGAGAACATGCAATATTTGTCTTTCTGTGCCTGGCTTTTTTCACTTAATCTAATTTGAATAATTCCCCCTCAGTCTCCCTTTCTGGTTGCCCATATACTGACCTCTAAATGTTGGAGTTCCTGAAGCTCATTCCTTGCACTTTTCTCTTGTATGTACTTGCTCCCTGGGCAGCCTCATTCAGTCCTGTGACTTCAAATATCATCTACGTACTGATAGATCCCACATTTTTATCTCTAGCCTGGATCTCTCCCCTGAACTACAACTCATGTGTCAAACTGCCTACTTAGCAGCTCCACCTGAATATTTAAAATGCATATAAAGCTTAGCATGTCCAAACTGAGCTTCAGATCTTTCCCTTGAATCCTGCTTCTTCCTCAGTCTCATTCTTCAAAGTAAACAATTCCAGTCTTTCATTTCCTTATGGTTAAACCTTGGTATAACATTTGACTTTACTCTTTCACACCTGAATTTGACCTGTCAGCAAAATCTTACTAAGCTCTACCTTTAAAATATGGTACAGAGGCATACCTCAAAGATATTGTGGGTTCAGTTCCAGACCATCACAATAAAGTGAATATAGCAATAAAGTGAGTCACACAAATTTTTTGGTTTGGTTTCCCAGTACATAGAAAACTTATGTTTCTACTATAGTTTATTAAGTGCACAATAGCATTCTGTCTTTAAAAATGTACTTATTGGCCAGGCACAGTGGCTCACACCTGTAATCCCAGCACTTTGGGAGGGTGAGGCAGGTGGATCACTTGAGGTCAGGAGTTCGAGACCAGCCTGGACAACATGGTGAAACCTCGTCTATACTAAAAATATAAAAATGAGCCAGGTGCGGGGCAGGCGCCTGTAATCTCCACTACTTGGGAGGCTGAGGCAGGGGAATCGTTTGAACCCGGGAGGCAGTGGTTGCAGTGAGCCAAGATCACGCCACTGCACTCCAGCCTGGGCAACAAAAGCAAAACTCCATCTCGAAAAGAAAAGAAAAAAAATGTACTTATCTTAATTTTAAAATACTTTTTGTTGTTGTTGTTGTTGTTGTTGAGACAGGGTCTAGCTCTGTCACCCAGACTGGGGTGCGGTGGTGTGATCTTGGCTCACTGCAGCCTCCACCTTCTGGATTCAAGTGATCCTCCCAACTCAGCCTCCCAAGTAGCTGGGATCACAGGTGTGCACCACCACACCAGGCTAATTTTTGTATTTTTTGTAGAGTTTTTTCTTTTTTGAGATGGAGTCTCACTCTGTTGCCCAGGCTGAAGTGCAGTGGCATAATCTCAGCTCACTGCAACCTCCACCTCCCAGGTTCAAGTGATTCTCCTGCCTCAGCCTCCTGAGTAGCTGGGATTACAGGCACGTGCCACCACATCTGGCTAATGTTTGCATTTTTAGTAGAGACAGTGTTTTGCCATGTTGGCCAGGCTGGTCTTAAATTCCTGACCTCAAGTGATCCACCCGCCTCAGCCTCCCAAAGTGCTGGGATTACAGGCGTGAGCCACCGCTCCCAGCCTGAGATGGGGTTTTGCCATGTTGCCCAGGCTGGTCTCAAAGTCCTGAGCTCAAGCGATCTGCCCACCTCAGCCTCTCAAAGTGCTTACAGGTGTGAGCCACTGCATCTGGCCCCAAAATACTTTATTCCTAAAAAAAGAATGCTAACAATCATCTGAGCCTTCAGCAAGTCATAATCTTTATGCTGGTGGAGGCTCCATGTTGATGGCTGCTGACTGATCAGGGTGGTGGTATTTGCTAAAGGGTGGGGTGGCTGTGACAATTTCTTTTCTTTTTTTTTTTTTTTTTTTTTTTTCTGAGACCGAGTCTCCCTCTTGTTGCCCAGGCTGGAGTACAATGACACGATCTCGTCTCACTGCAACCTCCGCCTCCTGGGTTCAAGCGATTCTCCTGCCTCAGCCTCCCAAGTAGCTGGGATTACAGGTGTGTGCCACCATGCCAGCTGTGACAATTTCTTAAAATAAGACAATGTAGCATTTGCCGCATGAATTGACACTTCCTTTCATGAAAGATTTATCTGTAGTATGCAGTACTATTTGATAGCATTTTACTCATAGTAGAATATCTTCCAAAATTGGACTCAGTCCTCTCAAACCCTGCTGCTGCTTTATCAACTAAGTTTATGTCATATTCTAAATCCTTTGTTGTCATTTCTACCATTCTACATTTCACAGTATCTTCATCAGGAGTAGATTCCATCTCAAGAAACCACTTTCTGGCTAGGCACGATGGCACACACCTGTAATCCCAGAACTTTGGGAGTCCAGAGTGAGAGAATCACGTGAGCTTGGGCATTCTAAACCAGCCTTGGCAACATAGTGAGACCCCCATCTCCTCACAAAAATTATTTTTAATTAGCTGAGCAGGGTGGTGCACACATGTAGTACTAGTTACTTGGAAGGTTGAACCAGGAGGATGGCTTGAGTCTAGGAGGTCAAGGTTGCAGTGAGCCATGATTGCCAGCCTGGGCAACACAGTGAGACTCTGTCTCTATTTAAAAAAAAAAAAAAAAAGAGGCTGGGCATGGTGGCTCACACCTGTAATCCCAGCACTTTGGGAGGTCAAGCCAGGAGGATCACTTGAGGTCAGGAGTCCGAGACCAGCCTGGTCAGCATGGTGAAACCCTGTCTCCACTAAAAATACAAAAATTAGCCAGTCATGGTGGTGGACACCTGTAATCCCAGCTACTTGGGAGGCTGAGGCAGGAGAATCGCTTGAGCTTGGGAGGTTAAGGTTGCAGTGAGCAGAGATCACATCACTGCACTCAAGCCTGGGTGACAGAGCGAGACTCCACCTCAAAAAAAAAAAAAGAAAAGAAGAAGAAATCACTTATTTGCTCATCCATAAGAAACAACTCTGCATCCATTTAAATTTTATCATGAGATTGCAGCAATTCAGTCACATCTTCAGGTTCCATTTCTAATTCTAGTTCCCTTGCTACTTCTATCATACCTGCAGTTACTTCCTCTAGTGAAGTCTTGAGCCCCTCTGAAAGTCATCCATGAGTTATAGAGTCACTTTCTTCCAAACTCCTGTAAATGTTGGTTTTTGGCTTCCTCCCTGGAACCACAAATATTCTTAATGGCATCTAGAATGGTGAATCCTTTCCAGAAGGTTTTCAATGTACTTTGCCCAAATCCATCAGCAGAATCACTATCTATGGCAGCTATAGCCTTATGAAATGTAATTTTAAATAATAAGACTTGCAGGTTTAAATTACTCCTTGATCCATGGGCTGCAGAAAGGATGTGTATTAGCAGGCATGAAAACAACATTCATCTCCTTGTACATCTCCATTAGAGCTCTTGGGTGACTAAATGCATTGTGAATGAGTATGAGCAGTAATCTTTGTAATCTTTTTTCTTTCTTCTTCTTCTTCTTTTTTTTTTTTTTTAGTAATAACCTTTTGAAAGCAACCTTTTTTCTGATCAATAGGTCTCAACAGTGGACTAAAAAATTCAATAGGGGCCAGGAACAATGGCTCACATCTCTAATCCCAGCATTTAGGAGGTGGAGTCAGGAGTGTCTCTTGATGCCAGGAGTTTGAGGATCAGCCTGGGCAACATAGCAAGACCCTGTCTCTACAAAAAATTTAAAAAATTAAAAAATTGGCTGGGTGTGGTGGCTTATGCCTGTAATCCCAGCACTTTGGGAGGCCAAGGCAGGCGGATCACCTGAGGTCAGGAGTTCAAGACCAGTCTGGCCAACATGGTGAAACCCTGTCTCTACTAAAAAAAAAACACACAAAAATTAGCTGGGCATGGTGGTGGACAACTGTAATCCCAGCTCAGGAGGCTGAGGCAGGAGAAGCACTTGAACCCGGGAGGTGGAAGTTGCAGTGAGCCGAGATTGCGCCATTGCACTCCAGCCTGGGTTACAGAGCAAGACTCCATCTCAAAAAAATAAAAATAAAAAAAAATTGAGTTCCAGGTGCAAGGCAGCCACTGAGGAGAGCAGAGTGCAGCAGCTGAAGGCTGGTGAGTCAGAGCCATGATGTTCTGGATTGAGGGCCTCACACCGAAGCTGGACCTGGAGGAGATGAAACAGAACAGAAGACATGCAAAGATGTGATCTCCTCCATACTGAACTTCCTCAGCTACATGGCCCTACTGCAAGTCACTCCTTTTATCTTAAAGAAATTGGACAGCATATGAAGATTGGGCATCATGTGTGAATGCATAATACGAAGAATCTGGCTACAGTTTCTACTCCTCTCTGCAAGTGAAAAGGCCCAGAAAGGTGTAAGAGACCCTTTGAATGGACATATTCAACAAATTCTGCTTGTTAAGAACAACTTTGGCTCTGGTAACTGACCTTCGTAGCTAAAATATAAAACTATAAGGAAGTATAAAAAATAAAATAATTAGCTGGGTGTGGTGGCACATACCTGTGGTCCCAGCTACTCAGGAGACTGAGGTGGAAGGATCACTTGGTCCAAGAGATCAAGGCTGCAGTGGGCTGTAATTGTGCAACTACACTCCAGCCTGAATCACAGAGCAAGACCGTCTCAAAAAATATATACAGGCTGCGCATGGTGGCTCACGCCTGTAATCCCAGCACTTTGGGAGGCCTAGGTGGGGGGATCACTTGAGATCAGGAGTTCAAGACCAGCCTGGCCAACATGGCGAAACCCCGTCTCTACTAAAAATGCAAAAATTAGCCAGGCATGGTGGCACACGCTTGTAATCCCAGCTACTCAGGAGGCTGAGACAGGAGAATTGCTTGAACCCAGGAGCCGAGATCGTACCACTGTACCCCAGCCTGGGCAACAGAGCAAAGCTCTGTCTCAAAAAAAAAAAAAAAAAAAAAAAAAAAATATATATATATATATATGAAACCATACTGTAAAAAAGAGGTGTGCTGTCATCCAGAGTTTGTTGTTTCATTTCTAGAGCATAAGCAGAGTAGAGTTAGCATAATTCTCAAAGGCCTTAGGATTTTCAGAATGATCGATGAGGAACTGGCTTCAACTTAAAGTCACCAGCTGCATTAGCACCTAGCAAGAGAGTCAGCCACTCCCTTGAAGCTGTGAAGCCAGGCATTGACTTTTGTCTAGCTATAAAAGTTCTAGATGGCATCTTGTTCCAATGGAAAGTTGTTTCATCTACATTGAAAATCTGTTGTTTTGCCTTCAGATCAGTGATGTCAAAAAAAAGAAAAGAAAAGAAAAGAAAATCTGTTGTTTAGTGTACTCACCTTCATCAACTATCTCAGCCAGATCTTCTGAATAACTTGCTGCTGCTTCTACATCAGCACTTGCTGCTTCACCTTGCACTTATATGTCATGGATATGGTTTCTTTTCTTAAACCTCATGGACCAACCTCTTCTAGCTTAAAACTTGTCTCCTGAAGCTTCCTCATCTCCCTTCGCCTTCATAGAATTGCTCTGGATTAGGCTTCAGCTTAAAGGCATATTGTAGCTGGTTTGATCTTCTATCCAGATCACTCTCACTTTCTCCATATCAGCAATAAGGCAGTTTTGCTTTCTTATTATTCATATGTTCACTGGAGTAGCATTTTATTTATTTATTTATTTATTTATTTATTTGAGACAGTCTCAAACAAATAACAATAAATGTTGCCCAGGCTGGTCTCAAAATCCTGGGCTCAAGTGACCCTCTGGCCTGTCTCCCAAGTAGCTGGGATTACACATGTGCATCATGCCCATCAACATCTTTTTTTTTTTTTTTAAGACGGAGTTTCATTCTTGTTGCCTAGGCTGGAGTGCAATGGCACGATCTCGGCTCACTGCAACCTCTTCCTCCTAGGTTCAAGCGATTCTCCTGCCTCAGCCTCCCTAGTAGCTGGGATTACAGGCACCTGCCACCACACCCAGCTAATTTTTTATATTTTTAGTAGAGATGGGGTTTCACTATGTTGGCCAGGCTGGTCTCAAACTCCTAAGCTCAGGTGATCCACCTGCCTCAGCCTCCCACAGTGCTGGGATTACAGGCGTGAGCCACCGCACCTGGCCAACACTTTTAATTTCCTTCAATAACTTTTCCTTTGCATTCACAACTTTGCAAACTGTCACAAGAGGCCTAGTTTTCAGCCTATCTCTGCTTTTGACATGCCTTCCTCACTAAACAATAATTTCTAGCTTTCGATTTATAGTGAGAAATGGCCAGGCACAGTGGCTCACTCCTGTAATCCCAGTGCTTTGGGAGACAAGACAAGAGGATCACTTAAGGCAAGAAGTTCAAGACCAGCTTGGGCAAAATAGCAAGACCCCCCATCTCTACAAAACATTAAATAGTCTGGGCACAGTGGCTCATGCTTGTAGTCCCAGCACTTGGAGAGGCCGAAGCAGGAGGATCGGTTGAGCTCAGGAGTTCAAGACCAGCCTGGGCAATACAGTGAGACCTCATCTCCAAAAAAAAAAAAAGTAAATATGGCCGGGAGTGGTGGCTCATGCCTGTAATCCCAGCACTTTGGGAGGCTGAGGCGGGTGGATCACCTGAGATCAGGAGTTCCGAGACCAACCCGACCAACATGGTGAAACCCCGTCTCTACTAAAGATACAAAAAACTAGCCGGGTGCGATGGCAGGTGCCTGTAATCCCAGCTACTTGGGAGGCTGAGGCAAGAGAATTGCTTGAACCCAGGAGGTGGAGGTTGCAGTGAGCCAAGATTGTGCCATTGCACTTCAGCCTGGGTGACAGAGCAAGGCTCTGTCTCAAAAATAAATAAATAAATGAATAAATAAATATCAAAAATTTAAAAATAAGTAATAAAAACAAAGTGAGAAATATGCGACTCTTCTTTCCACTTAACACTTACTTAGACACCATTGTAGGATTATTAATTGGCCTAATTTCAATATTGTCATGTCTCAGGGAATAGGTAGGCCTGAGGAGAGAGAGACACAGGGGAATGCTGGTTGGTGGAGCAGTCAGAACACATACAACATTTACTGATTATGTTCACCATTTTATATGGGCACAGCTTGTAGCACTCCCAAAACAATTTCAATAGTAGCATCAAAGATCACTGATCACAGATCACCATAACAGATAATAATAATGACAAAGTTGTATTAGTTTTTTTGTATGTTTGGTTTTCTTTTCTTTTTTTTTAATAAATTGATGTGGAGGCCGGGCGCGGTGGCTCACGCCTGTAATCCCAGCACTTTGGGAGGCCGAGGCGGGCGGATCACGAGGTCAGGAGATCGAGACCATCCTGGCTAAAACGGTGAAACCCCGTCTCTACTAAAAATACAAAAAATTAGCCGGGCGTAGTGGCGGGCGCCTATAGTCCCAGCTACTTGGGAGGCTGAGGCAGGAGAATGGCGTGAACCCGGGAGGCGGAGCTTGCAGTGAGCCGAGATCCCGCCACTGCACTCCAGCCTGGGCGACAGAGCGAGACTCTGTCTCAAAAAAAATAAAATTAAAAAAATAAATAAATAAATAAATAAATTGATGTGGAGGTCTTACTATGTTGCACAGGCTGGTTTCAAACTCCTGAGCTCAGGTAATCCACCTGCCTTGGCCTACCAAAGTGCTGGGACTATAGGCATGAGCCACCGCACTCGGCTATGTTTGGGTTTTTTTAGAGACAAGAGTCTCGCTGTGTCACCCAGGCAGGGGTGCAGTGGCATAATCATAGCGTTACTGCAGCCTCAAACTCCTGGACTCAAGCAATCCTCCAGCTTCAGCCTCTGAGCGACTGGGACTACAGGTGCATGCCACCACAACCAGCTAAGGCAAAGTTTTAAATATTGTGAGAATTACTAAAATGTGACACAAAGACATGAAGTCAGCACATGCTACCGGAAAAATGGCACCAATAGACTTGCTGGATGAAGGGTTACCACAAACCTTCAATTTGTGGGGAAAAAAAACCACACAATATCTACAAAGCACAATAAAGTGAAGCACAATAAAAACAAGGTATGCGGCTGGGCGTGATGGCTCATGCCTGTAATCCCAGCACTTTGGGAGGCCAAGGCAGGTAGATCACGAGGTCAGGAGTTCAAGACCAGCCTGGCCAACATGGTGAAACCCCGTCTCTACTAAAATTACAAAAATTAGCCAGGCATGGTGGTACACGCCTGTCATCCCAGCTACTTGGGGGGTTGAGGCAGGAGAATTGCTTGAACCCGGGAGGCGGAGGTTGTGGTGCGCCTAGATCGCACCACTGCACTGCGGCCTGGGCAACAGAGTGAGACTCTGTCTCACAAAAACAAAAACAAAAACAAAAAAACAAAAAACAAGGTATGCTTGTATCTGTAATCAGACCACTTACTACCTTTACTGATATCACCCTGAACCCAGCCGCCATCATCTCTGTTCTGAACCGTTGCAATAGCTTCCTAGCTGATCTCCCTACTTCCTTCTACTTTTTTCCTCCTTCAGTCTATTACCAACACAAAAAACACAATGAAAATGTGATATCATAAAGTAGACCATAAGACTTCTTGGTTCAA
Organism: Homo sapiens; assembly: GCF_000001405.40. Lineage (NCBI taxonomy): Eukaryota > Metazoa > Chordata > Mammalia > Primates > Hominidae > Homo > Homo sapiens. Next base: position 51,201,724 of record NC_000001.11, read on the forward strand.
AACCTTCCAATGGCTACCCATCTCTTTCAGAAGAAAAGTCAAAATTCCATTTTTTTTTTTTTTTTTTTGAGAAGGAGTCTCACTGTGCCACCCAGGCTGGAGTGCAATGGTGCAATCTCAGCTCACTGCAACCTCTGCCTCCCAGGCTCAGGCAATTCTCCTCCTTCAGCCTCCCGAGTAGCTAGGATTACAGGTGCAAACTACCACACCCAGGTAATTTTTGTATTTTTAGTAGGGACGGGGTTTCACCATGTTGGCCAGGCTAGTCTCGAACCCTTGACCTCTAGTGATCCACCCACCTAGGCCTCCCAAAGTGCTGGGATTATAGACATGAGCCACCGCGCCCGGCCTCAAAATTATTATAATATTTACTCTGCTTCAGTTAATCTAGCCTCCTTGCTGTTTCCAAATTACACCAAGCATACTCCAGCCGCAGGGTCTTTGCACTCGTTCTTCCCTATAACTGGAATGCTTTCCTCTTTGTGAAAATACAAGGTCTTTGCTTAAATATAAACTTTCAGAGGGGCCTTCCTGGACTCCTCTATCTCATTGATACTTCCTATCCTCCTTTCTTGCTTTATTTTTTTTCTGGCCCTTCTCACCATCTGATATAATATATATGTTCTTTCTTTATGCGTTATCTGCCTGTTTCTTCCTAACAGAAGCTAAGCTCCATGAAGGCACGTCAGTTCTGTTCACTGATGTATCCGCAGTGCCTAGAACAATGCCTCACACATAGTAAGTTTTCCATACGTATTTATAGAGAGAATGCGTCAGCCTCAATGACCGCTACAGGGAAGGACTGTGTCTGACTCTTCTCTGAATCCCTAGGGCCCACCTGACAGCTGGCACAGGATAGGAACTAGTAGAATAAATGAATTGTTATTGTTGTTTTAAGGAGTTGTGCCTGTTTTATCCTTCAGTGCTTTCTTGATTCTCATGGGGTAACAATTTTTACTCTTTCCTCACCTCCCAAATACTCCTGTGGAGAGATAGAGATCTTCCTGGGGCACTCTCTCTAAGTCACTTGACACCTGGGATCTCACTGAATCTCTCCCCTTTTCCCATACTTTTGGACTGAGACCATGTATCCCAGCTATGCCCTGGACATGTATGTCACCATTCCTCCTGCTGGCTCCATTTCTAGAACACCTATGCTTTCTACCTAATTTTAGGTGTCTGGTTTCTCCTTCAGGGTAGAAATGATATTTGACTTCTCTGTGTCCCTAGGACTAGCCATAGGGCCCAGCACATATCAAGCACTCTATAAATGGTTCTTGGACTAAACCTTTGCCTGTTTCCACCTGTTTCCTGTCATTTCATAGTTCTCATTCTCTCCATAAGTCTACTGTAGCCACCCAAATACCTTAGTAAATGTATTAGTATACATGTCTCTGTGGTGTTGTAATTAAGAACACAGGCTTTGGAATCCAATAGGCTTAATCTTGGCTCTGTTACTTAATGGTTATGACTTTGAGCAAGATATTTTACTTCTCTGAGCCTCTCTTTCTTCACTGGTAAAATGAAAATAATAATGCCACAAGAGGTTACAGTGAAGATTAAACTCAATAGTGTATACAAAGCCCTAGCACTCTAGCACATAATAGCTACATGAATGATAATAGTGGTATCCACTAGCCAACGACAATAAAACTATGAATATTTTGAGGGTCAAGGACTGTATCTCTAGCATCTGGAGAATATAGACTTTGTCAGGGAAGGAAATGATTAGAGACGGGGCTGGTGAAGTCAGTTGGAGCCACATTATGAAGGGTTAAGCAGTTTAGCCTTTATTCTTTAGATAATGAAGACTAATGAAAGAGTTATGGTAACACCTAAAGCTAAGAGCAAGTCAAAGACGATATTTTTGAGTACCAAATGAGGAAAGCCAGGAGAGCTGCCTGGGGCCATGTTAGCAATTAATTGAACCTTATGGTAACTGACATCAGTTATGAACTCAGGCTATAGTTGCATGATGTCAGCCTTTCAGATGAAAATGAAAACTTCAGTCAAACATCTGGTTGTTTAGTCTACCCAACATCAAAGACCTGGCAGTTCTGAAACTTTCAGATGTTTGACTGAATGGTTTAGTTTCCATCTTCATCTTAGAGGCCTGGTAGGCACAATCACTATGATTTTTGTCAGCTTTGGGCTTGAGGGTTTTTTTTTAATCTTTTAATTATGGAAACATTTCTATAACAACATAAAATGATTTTTTTAAAAAAAAGAAACAGTGGAGGTGGGGGTTAGGGTGGGAGGATCGCTTGAGGACAGGAGTTCAAGCCCAGCCTGGACAACATAGAGAGGCCCTGTCTTTACTAAAAATAAAAAAATTGGCTGGGCATGGTGGCACGCACCCGTAGTCTCAGCTACGCAGGAGGCTGAGGCAAAAGAATCCCTTGAGCCTAGGAGTTTGAAGTTACAGTGAGCTATGATCGCGCCACTGCATTCTAGCCTGGGTGACAGAGCAAGACCCTGTTTCTAAAAACAGGAAAGAAAGAAAGAAACAAGCAAAAATAAAACCTCCCTAATTCTACCTTGTTAAAACAACTGGTTTTATTTTTGCATGTTCCCTTAATAGATATATAAAGTTTACATTGCTTATCCACGGGAACATATGTTTGTGCCCTTTTCATTGCACTTATTGTTATGTTTGATTTAAATGTAATTCATATTTTTTGTATATTTTTTATAGAGATAAGGTCTTACTATGTTGCCCTGTCTGGTCTAAAACTCCTGGGCTCAAGCCATCCTCCTGCCTTGGCCTCCCAAAGTGCTAGGATTACAGGCATGAAGCAAAGCACCTGGCCTCATATTTTTAAATAATTACTATATAATATTATCAACTGGATATGCTAGAATCTACTGAATTTGAACATTCTGGGGTTGATGTAAATTTTTGTGACTCTTGGCCGGGCACGGTGGCTCACGCCTGTAATCCCAGCACTTTGCGAGGCCGAGGTGGGTAGATCATGAGGTCAGGAGATCGAGACCATCCTGGCTAACACAGTGAAACCCTGTCTCTACTAAAATACAAAAAAATTAGCCAGGTGTGGTGGTGGGCACCTGTAGTCCCAGCTACTCAGGAGGCTGGGGAAGGAGAATGGCATGAACCCAGGAGGCAGAGCTTGCAGTGAGCCGAGATCGCACCACTGCACTCCAGCCTGGGCAACAGAGTGAGACTCTATCTCAAAAAAAAATTTTTTTGTGCCTCTAATTTTTCATTAAGATAAACAACCAGCTGGGCAAAGTGGCTCACACCTGTAATCCCAGCACTTTGGGAGGCCAAGGCGGGCAGATCACGAGGTCAGGAGTTCGAGACCAGCCTGGCCAACATGGTGAAACCCCATCTCTACTAGAAATACAAAAATTAGCTGGGCGCGGTGGTGGGCGCCTGTAATCCCTGCTACTCGGGAGGCTGAGGCAGGAGAATCATTTGAACCCAGGAGGTGGAGGTTGCAGTAAGCCGAGATCACACCATTGCTCTCCAGCCTGGGTGACAGGGTGAGACTAGTCTCACATAAATAAATACATACATACATACAAACAACCGTGTTTGTTTATAATAATTTCATAGAGGTGGGGCGAAGTGGCTCACACCTGTAATCCCAGCACTTTGGGAGGCTGAGGCAGGTGGATCACCTGAGGTCAGGAGTTCAAGACCAGCCTGACCAACATGGAGAAACCCCGTCTCTACTAAAAATACAACATTAGCCTGGTGTGGTGGCGCATGCCAGTAATCCCAGCTACTCGGGAGGCTGAGGCAGGAGAATTGCTTGAACCTGGGAGGCAGAGGTTGCGGTGAGCTGAGATCATGCCATTGCACTCCAGCCTGGGCAACAAGAGAGAAACTCCATCTCAAAATAAATAAATAAATAAATAAATAAATAAATAAATAAATAAATAATAAATAAATTCAAAGGATATCCAGTTAAAAGTCAAAGCATTGGCTGGACATGGTGGCTCACGCCTGTAATCCCAGCGCTTTGGTAGGCCAAGGCAGTTGGATCACATGAGGTCAGGAGTTCAAGACCAGCCTGGGTGACATTGTGAAACCCCGTCTCTACTAAAAATACAAAAAATTTATCTGGGCATGGTGGTGCGCACCTGTAATCCCCACTACTCCAGAGGCTGAGGCAGGAGAATCACCTAAATCTGGGAGGCCAAGGTTGCAGTGAGCAGAGATCGTGCCATTGCTCTCCAGCCTGGGTGACAAGAGCAAAACTCTGTCTCAAAAAATAATAATGATAATAATAAAATAAAAGTCACAGCATTTTTATGACTCAATACAGATGTCTTAGTTCATTTTGTGCTGCTACAGCAGAATACCTGAGACTGGGCAATTTATAAAGTACAGAGATTTATTTCTTATAATTCTAGAGGCTAGGAAGTCCAAGACCGAGGGTTCAGCATCTGAAGGGGGCCTTTGTGTTGCATTATCTTTTGGCAGAGGTGGAAGGGCAAGAGAGGATGAGAGAGAGCAAGACAGCAAACTTGCAACCTCAAACCCTGTTATAATTGGCATTAATCCACTCATGAGGTTGGAGCCCTCATGACCTAAATGCCTCCCATTAGACACCACCTCCCAACACTTGCATTGGGGATTAAGTTTCCAAAACATGCTTTTGGGGAGACATATTAACACCATAGCAATAGGCTGGGCACAGTGGCTCCTGCCTGTAATCCCAGCACTTTGGGAGGCTGAGGCGGGTGGATCACCTGAGGTCAGGAGTTCGAGACTAGCCTGGCCAACATGGTGAAACCCCGTCTCTATTAAAAATATAAAAATTAGCCAGGTGTGGTGGCGGGCGCCTGTAATCCCAGCTATTTGGGAGGCTGAGGCAGGAGAACCGCTTGAACTCAGGAGGCGGAGGTTGCAGTGAGCCAAGATCACACCATTGCACTCCAGCCCTGGGTGACAGAGAGAGACTCTGTCTCAAAAAAAAAAAAAAAAGAACAAAAAAACATAGGAACAGATTTCCATATTGCAAAGGGATTATACTACTTTAGACTGATATCAACAACATATGAGTTCCCACAACAGATTTCCCACATAAGATTTCACCACAATCTTATCACCATTGATGTTATCATTTCAATGTTTTAATTTCTGGTCAATTGGGCCAGTTCTAACATAACACATGTAACCATATACTTATCCCTTCTCCTCTCCCAAAACATCAATACAAGGAGAACAAATGATTGGGGGTTTTTTTGTTTTGTTTTGTTTTTGTTTTTTTTAGACAGGGTCGCACTCTGTTGCCTGCACTGGAGTGCAGTGGCATGATCTCAGCTCACTGCAACCTCCATCTCCTGGGTTCAAGTGATTCTCCCACCTTAGCCTCCTGAGTAGCTGGGACTTACAGGCATGTACCACCATGCCTGGCTAATTTTTTTTTTTTTTTTTTTTGGTATTTTTTGGTAGAGACAGGGTTTTTCCATGTTGGCAGGCTGGTCTCGAACTCCTGACCTCAAGTGATCCACCTACCTCAGCCTCCCAAAGTCCTAGGATTACAGGCCACCACACCCGGCCCCAGTGAGAACAAATGATTGTTTTAAAGGTATAAACTCAGCTGGGCATGGTGGCTCACAACTGTAATCCCAGCACTTTGGGAGGCTGAAGCAGGAGCCTCACTCAAGGCCAGGAGTTCGAGACCAGGCTGAGCAACATAGCAAGACCCCATTTAAAAAGACAGAAACTGGTTGGGCATGGTGGCTCGCGCCTGTAATCCCAGCCCTTTCGGAGGCCGAGGTGGGAGGATCATTTGAGGTCAGGAGTTCAAGATCAGCCTGGCCAACAGAGTGAAACCCCATCTCTACTAAAAAAAAAATAACAAAAATTACCCCAATGTGGTGGCAGGAGCCTGTAATCCCAGCTATTCAGGAGGCTGAGGCAGGAGAATGGCTTGAACCCGGGAGGTGGAGGTTGTAGTGAGTTAAGATGGCACCACTGCACTCCAGCCTGGGCAACAGAGCAAGATCCTGTCTCAAAAAAAAAAAAAAGAAAGAAAGAAAGAAAAGAAAAGAAAAGAAAAAAGAACACTAGGAGATAAAGAAAGTATGCTCCAGCTTTAGGGGAAAAATAATAGTATCATACAAGGGATAGAGAGATAATTTGAATGATATTAAATGTCTTAACAACAAACACTAGGAATATAAAGTAGCAATGCCTTAAACATCCTGTGTAAAACTTTTTTTCAACTTAGAATTCTATATCTGGAAAACTACCAATCGAGTGGGAAATGAAAATTAAGACATACTGAGACTTGCAAAGTCTCCAAAAAATTACTTTGTGTAACTTTGTTTTGGGAAGCTACTATAGGATGTGTGCCACCAAAATGAGAGAGTAAACCCAGGCCAGGCCCAGTGGCTCACACATGTAATCCCAGCACTTTGAGAATCCAAAGCAGGAGGATCACTTGAACCCAGGAGTTCGAGACCAGCCCGAGCAACATACGGAGACCCCATCGCTACAAAAAAAAAAAAAAAATTAGCTGGTTATGGTGGCATGTGCCAGTAGTTCCAGTTATTCAGGAGGCTGAGGCAGGAGGATCCCTTCAGTCCAAGAGTTGGAGGTGTCAGTGACCTATGATTGTACCACTGCACTCCAGCCTGGGCAACAGAGCGAGACCCTGTGTCAAAAAAAAAGGAAAAAGAAAAACAGAGAGTAAACCCAAAAAAGAGAAAGATCTAAGATTCTTAAAAGAGGAAATATATTTTTCATGGAGATATAAACTAGAAAAAAGAAAAATAATAATAAAAAGATAAAAAGAGGAAATACACAACAGAGTCAAAGAGAATCCTCACGATGGTGATAAAGGATAATCCTAGAATGACAGCTGTTCAGCATGCATCAAGATTGGACTAGGAGAGTAGAGGGCTTTGGGAGCTATATGTTCAGGAAAATAAATGGAATAGATAAATTATCTGATATATTTAATCATGTAGAAAATAGTGACATAGAGAATTGAGCAAATTGGCAGAGTGTGGTGGCTCACACCTGTAATCCCAGCACTTTGGGAGTCCAAGGCAGTGGATTGCCTGAGGTCAGGAGTTCGAGGCCAGCCTGGCTAACGTGGTGAAACCCCATTTCTACTAAAAAGGCAAAAATTAGCCAGGAATGGTGGTGTGTGCCTGTAATCCCAGCTACTTGGGAGGCTGAGGCAGGAGAATTGCTTGAACCCAGGAGGTGGAGGTGGCAGTGGGCCGAGATTGTGCCACTGCATTCCAGCCTGGGCAAGAGTGAGACTCTGTCAAAAAAAAAAAAAAAGAGAGAGAGAGAGAAAATTTAGCAAATAAAAAAAATTAATATCTCCAGCAAGAAAAATGTATATGAGGAAATGTAATTATGGTATATCATTTAGCTTAGCAGTAAACAACATTCATAATAATTCAGTAAATTTTGATTTAGTGAAAAAATATATTTTAACTAGATTAGGGGAAAAATAGAGATCTAGAGTGATGAAAGAGGGCTAAATCCTCATCTTTCATAGCAGAAATTCAAAAGATAATGTCTAAAATTGATAGGTCAAAAAAAGTAAGTATACAAGCAAATTGTCTATTTAATGGAAGTAAACGCCAGAATGGCTAAAAATGTTTGGGGAGGGGGTTTGAGGTTAAAGATGAGCAAGGATAGGGAATCACATTTTTTAATCATAAGCCTTATGGTATTATCTGACTTTTTAAACAATGTGAGTATATTACTTTGATTGATTTTTAAACTTTATTCTTTTTTTAATTTTTTTTTTTTGAGACAGAGTCTCACTCTGTCACCCAGGCTGGAGTGCAGTGGTGCAATCTCCACTCACTGCAAGCTCTGCCTCCCGGGTTCAAGCAATTCTCCTGCCTCAGCCTCCCAAGTAGCTGGGATTACAGGTGCCCACCACCATGCCCAGCTAATTTTCGTATTTTTAGTAGAGATGGGGTTTCACCAGTTTGGCCAGGCTGGTCTTGAACTCCTGACCTCAGGTGATCCACCCGCCTCGGCCTCCCAAAGTGCTAGGATAACAGGCATGAGCCACTATGTCCAGCAACTTTTAAACTTTAAAAATAACTTTTAAATGTTATATCATTTTCATCTGAATTTGCTTAACTGAAGATTTTTACCATGTGTTTACATACTGACTGTAAATTACTTAACAAACATTTATATATCTATTAGTTGTTTTGCCCAGCATGGGAGATAATTAAATGAGCAAAAGTAAATCTTTACCCTTAAATAATTCACAGTACAGGTGGGAGAGAGTAAGTAATCAAATAATTATTAAACAGATGACAAGCGCTGTAATAGAGAAATATGTAGGGCATTATAGGAGCAGAAAGGAAGACCTATCTGGCTTTACCTTGGGATAGGTGGATCTGAGCTACATCTTAGAGGAGGACAAGCTTAGCTTAGCTCTCTAAGCTCTTAGAGAGAGCTTCCTAGGCAAATGGACTTGATGTGAAAAGGCTTGGAGGGGTCAGCAAGTTTCCTTTGCCAAGTTTGTGAAGGCCAAAAGGCAGGATTTATGTGGGATTTATCTCATCCTTTGTTCAGTTTTATTTGAGTTCAGCCAAGTTTTGTGGCCTTCTGTGCTATGTAGGAAAAATGATCCCAAACTACGTTTTTCCTCTGCTCTCACACCACCACAATAATTATCAACATAGAAGATTTCTGTGACCAAAAAGGTGTGGGGGGTTTCCCCACACACCAAGCAGCAGACGCCAGCTGGGTATCCTGCGATACTGTCTACCCAGATACAGTGTCAGATCCCACAGATTGAGGGCTCAGTCCCACAAAACTGTCCTCTCCTTCCCCCTAGTTGTACGTCCAGATCTCTGAAACTTCTGACTGACCAGCTTCAAGTTGGGGTTCCCACAACCCCCACTTTGGGTTTGATTAATTTGCTAGAGTGGTTCACAGAACTCAGGGAAACACATTTACCGGTTTATTAGGAAGGATATTTTAAAGGATACAAATAAACAGCCAGATGAAGACATACACAGAGTGAGGTCTGGAAGGGTCCTGAGCACGGGAGCTTTTGTCCCCATGGAGTTGGTGTTGATCACCCTCCCGGCACATGGATAAATTCTTCTGCATCTTCCTGTCAGCCTCCATATGTTCAGCTCTCTGGAAGCTCCCTGAACCTTGTCCTGGAAGCTCCCTGAACCTTGTCCTTTGGGCCTTTTATGGGGACTTCATTGGTTGTCCATGACCGAAGCATGTCAAAATGTGATTAGACAAAAAGGATGTGATCTAAACCCAGCAAGGCCTATCTGTTCAGATTCTTCTTGGCCTCTCTGTTCAGTATTCCTTCCTCCAGAGTATGGGACATGACTGTCTCTGAAGTGAGGGTCTTAAGACCCACAATCAGAAAAGTAGGGGAATATTAGAGTCCTGTCTAGGGGCAGGTGAAAGGAGGGCAGGAGAAAGAAAGATTCTGTTTCCTGAAACACCCAACATTATATTATAGAAAAGACTATAACAAGGGCTATGGGAATTATGAGCCAGGACCATGGACAAAAACCAATATATATCATAATGCCACACGTGGACATTTTAAAATCTCAGAGCTGTGTCTGTTCTTAAAATGCAGCTGGGGTCCTGGCTTTGAGGTGGAAATAACGCAAACAACTGTAGATGGTGCAGTGTCACAAATGTGAAGGCCAGGAAAACACTGAAGTATTCCAATTATTTTGATATGTGTGTCCTCTAATGGCCAAGAGTAAAGATTTTCGCTTTTTAAAATCTTTGACCCAGCACTTTGGGAGGCCGAGGCGGGCAGATCACCTGAGGTCAGGAGTTCGAGACCAGCCTGGCCAACAAGGCAAAACTCTGTCTCTACAAAACTACAAAGATATTAGCTGGGCATGGTGGTGTGCACCTGTAATCCCAGCTATTCAGGAGGCTGAGGTGGGAGACTCGCTTGAACCTGGGAGGTGAAGGTTGCAGTAAGCCGAGATTGTGCCACTGCATCCCAGCCTGGGCAACAGAGTGAGACACTGTCTCAAAAAAAAAAAAGAAAAAAAACTTTGAATTATCACCTTGGTTAAATGAATCACTATTATTTTACAGTAACTTATGATCCTATTTTGAGCAAATGTCTGAAACCTTTGCTATTTGACAAACTTTTTAAAATCAAAATTTCAAAATTCATACTTTTGACCTCAGGCTAATTTTGGGGGTTATTAGGGCCCTGGAAGTCCATATCAGGCTTATTTGGTATATAAAAATCATACAGGAAGCATTGTCAAATATGAAATGATATTTAACTTTCTTCAGGTTGGCCGGGCACGGTGGCTCACACCTGTTATTCTAGCACTTTGGGAGGCCAAGGTGGGTGGATCACCTGAGGTCAGGAGTTCAAGACCAGCCTGGCCAACATGGTAAAACCCCATCTCTACTAAAAATACAAAAATTAGCTGGGCATGATGGCAGGTGCCTGTAATCCCAGCTACTCGGGAGGCTGAGGCAGGAGAATTGCTTGAAGCAGGGAGGCAGAAATTGCAGTGAGTCGAGATCATGCCATTGCACTCCAGCCTGGGTGACAGAGCAAGATTACATCTCAAAAACAAACAAACAAAAAAAAAACAGGGCTGGGTGTGATGGCTCACGCCTGTTATCCCAACACTTTGAGAGGCCGAGGCGGGCAGATCACAAGGTCAGGAGTTCGAGACCAGCCTGGCCAACGTGGTGAAACCCCATCTCTGCTAAAAGTACAAAAATTAGCTGGGCATGGTGGTGAGCACCTGTAATGCCAGCTACTTGGGAGGCAGAGGCAGGAGAATCATTTGAACCTGGGAGGCGGAGGTTGCAGTGAACTGAGATCGGACCATTGCACTCCAGCCTGGTGGGGAGGGTGAGACCACCACCGCCCCCCCCAAAAAAAAAACTTTCTTCAGGTTATATTTGTATAAATGCGTTATTAATATGTGTTCCAAAATTCCGTAAGATTCCTAAAATTCTGTTATGTCTTAAATCAGTAATAATTGTGATTATTATGTTAAATTGTTATATGCCACAGAAATAACAAAATTTCTTTTTTTTTTTTTTTTTTTTGAGACAGAGTCTCGCTCTGTTGCCCAAGCTGGAGTGCAGTGGCACAATCTCGGCTCACTGCAACCTCCACCTCCCAGGTTCAAAGTGATTCTTCTGCTTCAGCCTCCTGAGTAGCTGGGATTACAGGCACGCACCAGCACGCCTGGCTAATTTTTGTATTTTTAGTAGAGACGGGGTTTTGCCATGTTGGCCAGGCTGGTCTCGAACTCCTAACCTCAGGTGATCTGCCTGCCTCGGCCTCCCAAAGTACTGGGATAATAGGCGTGAGCCACCACACCTGGCCGTGATTATTCTTAATTTATTGCAATATAGCTATTTGCATAAACTCAATAGAATCTGTTTTATTTTGGAATAGGACACAATTGGAGACACTGGATTTACCAAGGCTTTGACAGGAATATCATATTTTTAGATATGCCCAGGCTGCTTTAAGGAATAGAAGTTAAGGCCAGGCATGGGCCCATGCCTGTAATCCCCTTGGGAGCCTGAGGCAGGACAATCACTTGAAATCAGGAGTTCAAGACCAGCCTAGCAACATAGTGAGACCCCATGTCTACTCAAAAAATAATTTAGGATGGGCATGGTGGCTCATACTTGTAATCCCAGCACTTTGGGAGGCCAAGCAGGATTACCACGGGAGTCCAGGAGTTTGAGACCAGCCTGGGCAACAAAGTGAGATCTCATCTCTACAAAAAAATGTAAAAAATAGCCAAGCACGGTGGTGCATGCCTATGGTCCCAGCTACTCAGGAGGTGGAGGTGGGAGGATCGCTTGAGCCTGGGAGTTTGAGGCTGCAGTGAACCAAGATCATGCTACTGCACTCCAGCCTGGGTGACAGAGTGAGACCCTGTCTCAAAAAGAAAAATAAGTCTGGGCGCAGTGGCTCACACCTGTAATCCCAGCAGTTTGGGAGGCCAAGGCAGGCAGATCACGTGAGGTCAGCAGTGCGAGACCAGTATGGGCAACATGGTGAAACCTTGTCTCTATTAAAAGTACAAAAATTAGCCAGGTGTGGTAGCAGGTGCCTGTAATCCCAGCTACTCAGAGGCTGAGGCAGGAGAATCGCTTAAACCCTGGAGGTAGAGGCTGCAGCAAGCCGAAATCGCACCACTGCACTCCAGCCTGGGCTACAGAGCAAGACTGCATCTCAAAAAGAAAAGAAAAGGAAAGAAAAGAAAAGACAAATAACTTTTTAAATAATTTTTAAAATATTTTAAAGGAATAGAAGTTGACTTTATAGAGCTAATAAAACGTCTGGAAAGACTGACATGGTACCTTGTCTGTGCAGCTCCTTTACAAGTTTTCTGTTCTCGCAGCAAGAAAAGAATGTCACTTTCTGGCTAAGCACAGTGGCTAGCGCCTGTAATCCCAGCACTTTGGGAGGCCAGGGTGGGTGAGCCCAGGAGTTTGAGATCAGCCTGGCCAACATGGTGAAACCCTGTCACTAAAAATACAGAACTTAGGAGCGTGGTTGTGCATGCCTGTAATCCCAGCTACTTGGGAGGCTGAGGCAGGAGAATCGCTTGAACCCAGTAGGCAGAGGTTGCAGTGAGCCAAGATCATTCCACTGCACTCCAGCCTGGTGACAGGCAAGACTTTCACAAAAAAAAAAGTTCTAGCAAAGCCAATTTAAACGAACCTATATGGCCAATCACTATTCTTGCTGCACTTTATGCAAATAATCAGGCCAAGTATATTGTGACTAAAACTTATTTTGCAAATTAATTGGTCCTGCTATGATTTATCCTTGCTGAAAATGGGAAACTAGAGAGAGAAGAATTATGTTTTAGAAGAAAAATTATGTTTTAGAAGAAATCTATAGTCCACCCACTATTTGATTCTAGCCCTGTTCATTGTTTGTGAGTTTTTGTTATTTGCCTACAGTAAGGATGAAATCATAAATTCTTTCCTGGTTACAAGTCCCTATACTAACGTTTCCAAATTTGTCTTCCACTTTTCTGACTTGGACGCAATACAATTGCTACCGTCTTTTTCCTGAGGCCCTCCAGGCTGAAGCTCATATGTTGTGACATACAAACTGCAGGCAAGAAAAACCTGTCAGATTGCCAGCATCTACTTCCACGTTAACTGAAGATGCTTCAAGTCTTACATCCAGACAACTCACCCAACTGCCCTCCAGACTCTAAGGAAGCCGGTTTATAGATTGTACCAAACATTAACCTTTGTTTTTCTTCTGTTTGAAAGCCCATCTGCGATGCCATCTTCTGATATGGGCAGCTTTTAGTGTGTGAAACTTCTAGGGAAGTTTCTGACAGGGTAATGTTGGGGCCAGGAAACCAATACCACAAAATATGGCGTTTTGACATGCTGAACTGAAGAAGCCTCAAGGTCTTTCTGACCTTCCCCCAACATGCACATATACTGTCTCACCCAAAGTCCCTATCTGCCTAACATCCAGACTCTCCAAAAGGAACAATTATTTTTTCTTCCCTTCCCTATAAGACCAAGACTGTAACCACACCTGAAGCAACCCCTTCACAAGATAATGTACAAGTTAATCTCTGTTCCCTGATTCATTTATTCTCCCTAGTAATGCCCTCAACAGAATTCCTCTTCCCCCTCTCACAACCTGTTTTGCCAGAATAGCTTACAAGCTTCTGAATCACACTGTAGGATGGGCAATCACCCCATGATTCTCCCCATGTATGCACATTAAATAAATGTGTATGCCTTTTCTCCAATTAATCTACCTTTTGTGAGCTGATTCTTCAGTGAACCTTTGGAGGGCAGAGGGGAGGTTTCCCTTGACCCGTAAAGCCTCAGTGTATCTGATTTACTCTGTGAGAAGGACCACTGAGTTGTAGGCAGAGTTCCTGACCCTCCAAATTACAAAAACGAGCTTTTTAATCCAAGCCTCTCCAAGCAGAAAAAACAGCCATCATTGAATAATCTTTCAAAATAGAATGTCCTATAGAAAATATACATTCGCTATAAAAATAAGCACTAGGCCATGCATTCCTTGGTTCCCACGGCCACCATCCTAGTTCAGGCCCCAATATTAGACCATTGCAACTGAGTCCTAACTACCTTTTCTCTGCCTCCAGTCTCTTCCATTAGTCCATTTCCCCTTGCCACCAGATTGCTGTTTCTAAAACACAGAGCTAATCATATGACTCTCTTGATTAAGAAAAACAGAAAAACAACTTCAGTGGCTCTCACAGCCTACTGGATCAAGTACAAACTCCTTTGTCTAGTATTCAAGGTCCTCCATTAACTGGCCCCAAACTACCTCCCAACACACACACACATACACACACACACACACACACACGTTCTTTCTCTAAATTTCAGCTTCCCTGAATGTTATTCTTAGAACACAGTGAACTTTCATTTCATCAAATATTTGTATGTGTTTTTCTCTCTAAAATGCCCTTTGGCCTACCAGTCTTCTCTTTCTCTTTTTTTTTTTTTTTTTTGAGACAGGTCTCACTCTGTCACCCAGGATGGAGTGCAGTGGTGCCATCTCGGCTCCCTGGAACCTCCGCCTCCCAGATTCAAGCAATTCTCCCACCTCAGCCTCCCAAGTAGCTGAGAGTACAGGTACACACCACCATGCCTGGCTAATTTTTGTATTTTTTTTTAGCAGAGTCAGGGTTTCGCCATGTTGGCCAGTCTGGTGTTGAACTCTTGCCCTCAAGTGATCCGCCAGCCTCAGCCTCTCAAAGTGCTGGGATTACAGGCGTGAGCCACTGCGCCTGGCCCAAGTCTTCTCTTTTTAAGACCCAGTTTAGGCTGGGCACTAATATAAAAATTAGCCAGGCGTGGTGGCCCGCGCCTGCAGTCCCAGCTACTCCGGAGATTGAGGCGGGGGGATAGCTTGAACCTGGGAGGTGGAGGTTGCAGTGAGCGGAGATCGCACCACTGCACTTCAGTCTGGGCGACAGAGTGAGACCTGTCTCAAAAAAAAAAAAAAAAAGACTCGGTTTATTTTACTGCAGTTTCAGAGTGAGAAAAAAGAAAAAGAAAAAGATCCAGTTTAAATGTTGCTCCTAATGGTTAAAATCATGATGTCTGTTCCACCTGGGTCCAATCCAGGATTACTTAATGGGTGACCTTGAGCAAGTTACCTAAACTCTCTTTCCTTTAGCTTCCTCATTTATATAATGTGGGAAATAATAGTAACTACTTCTTAGAGTTGTAGGTCATAAACCAAATAATACATGTAAAACATTTAGAACAATGCCGGGCATCTGATTAGAGCTCAATGAATGTTAGCTCTGATTTAAAATAATGATAAATTAATAATGAATAAAGAAATAATACATAAATGTCCTATTTCCTGAGAAGATTTTCTTATTTATCCAAAGAAATATAATCATTTCTATCACAATACATTCACAGTTTATACTGCTTATAACATTTATTTTCACATCTCTTCATACAATTTCTGGAAGATAGAATGTGTTAAAAAAATTATTTGTTTAAAATGAGGTCATATTTACTATTCAAGGTTGTTTTTTTTTTTCTTTCTTTAGAGATAAGGTCTCACTGTGTCAGCCAGGCTGGAATGCAGTGACATGATCATAGCTCACAGTAGCCTCAAGCTCCTAGGCTCCAGCAATCCTCCTACCCTAGCCTCCCGAGCTGCTAGGCAGGTGTATGCACCACACTGGATTTTTTTTTTTTTTTTCTAGAGACAGAGTCTCACTATGTTGACCAGGCTGGTCTCAATCTTCGGGCCCCAAGTGATCCTCCCATCTTGGCCTCCCAAAGTGTTGAAATTATAAGCATGAGCCACCATGCCTGGCCAAGTTTTTTTTTTTTTTTTTGAGAGGGAGTCTCGCTCTGTCATCCCCCAGGCTGGAGTGCAGAGGCACAATCTCAGCTCACTGCAACCTCTGACTCCCAGGTCGAAGCGATCCTTCTGCCTTAGCCTCCTGAGTAGCTGGGATTACAGGCACCTGCCACCATGCCTGGCTAATTTTTGTATTGTTAGTAGAGACAGGGTTTCACCATGTTGGCCAGGCTGGTCACAAACTCTTGACCTCAAGTGATCCACCCACCTTGGCCTCCCAAAGTGCTGGGATACAGGGTGAGCCCGGCCTCTGGCCAAGTTTTTTTTTTTTTTTTTTTTTTTTTTGAGACGGAGTCTCGCTCTGTCACCCAGGCTGGAGTGCAGTGGTGCGATCTTGGCTCACTGCAAACTCCACCTCCCAGGTTCACGCCATTCTCCTGCCTCAGCCTCCTGAGTAGCTGGGACTACAGGCGCCCGCCACTATGCCCGGCTAATTTTTTTGAATTTTTTTAGTAGAGATGGGATTTCACCATTTATTTATATTTATTTATATTATTATAATATTTATTTATATTAAATAAATAAAATAAAATATTTATTGCTTTTTTTTCTTTTTTTTTTTAAACAGGGTCTCATTCTTTTGCTCAGGCTGGAGTGCAGTGGCTTGATCTCGGCTCACTGCAACCTCTGCCTCCCAGTCTCAAGCAATCCTCCCACCTTAGCCTTCTAAGCAGCTGGGGCTACAGATGTGCACTACCACGCCCAGCTAGCTTTTGTATATTTTGTAGAGATGGGGTTTCGCCATCTTGCCCAGGCTGGTCTCAAACTCCTGGTCCACCTGCCTCAGCCTCCCAAAGTGCTGGGATTACAGGAATGCGCCACCACGCCCAGCCTGCGTACCTAATTATATAAATTGTGTGTTCCTCTGGTAATCCAACAAATGTCTACATGCCATCAGAAGCAGCCCAACCTACTTCAACTAGTCTTCATCGGAACTGAAAATCAGAGCTATAAAGGCCTTTAGAGTTCACCTAACCTAGCCTAACACTGCTGAAGTTGGGGAAATAGTTCTAGAGAGGAGACACTGACCCAAAGTCATGGAGTATTTCAGTCATCCACTGCTATGTAACAAACTACCCCAAAGCTTAGTGGCTTAACCCAACAACCATTTTATTATTTCTCATAATTGTGTGGGTCAGGTATTCAGTCAGGGCTAGGCAGGTCACTTCTGCTGTTCCACATGAAGTCAGTTGGGGTCACTGCATGGTATTCACTCACATGCCTTGAGCCTTCACTCATATTCCTTAAGCCTTGGCAGGAGTGGCTGGAAAGCTGGCTTCATTTAGGCCCCTCTATCTCTCCGTGTAGTTTTAATATGATCTCTCCAGCCAAATACGTGGTGGGCTCCAAGGGACAGTGTTCCCAAGAGGCAGGAAATAGTAGTTACCAGTCTGAATTTCCTGGGCTTGGAAAGTAGCACAGTGTCACTTCTGCAGTATTCTATTGGTCAAAGCAATCGCAGAGGCCACCCAGACTCAAGAGGAGGCACTCCTTGATACTCTTACCCACCTGTCAATGGTAAGAGTAATTAAGAATTTACAACCATCTTTAATCTGTAACAGTCGGCCCTCGGGCCACAAATTATTTACATTCCTCGCACATGCAAAATATATTCAGATCTTCAAAGGACCTACCCAGCAAAATTCAGCACATTACAGCGTCAGACTCAGGATCAAGGTCCATGATCTCATCATCTGAATAAGTTCCAGATGTGGAGGTGGGCTCCTCAGCTGTAGTTCCTAGGGTGTAGCTTTTCAACCTGAAGACTTGTGAACTAAAGAGATAAGTTATCTGCTATCTGCTCCTTATATAACCAGCTATAATGGTGATAGAGGCATAAGAACTGCAATAGACACTTCTGTTCAAAAGAGGTGGTAGCCTGGCATGGTGGCTCATGCCTGTAATCCCAAGACTTTTTTTTTTTTTTTTTTTTGAGATGGAGTCTTGCTCTGTCACCTAGGTTGGAGTACAGTGGTGAGATCTTGGCTCACTGCAACCTTCACCTCCTGGGTTCAAGCGATTCTCCTGCCTCAGCCTCCCAAGTAGCTGGGATTACAGGCGCCTGTCACCGTGCCCCGCTAATTTTTTGTATTTTTGTTAGAGACGGGGTTTTGCCATGTTGGCCAGGCTGGTCTGGAACTCCTGACCTCAGGTGATCTACCCACCTCAGCCTCCCAAAGTGCTAGGATTACAGGTGTGAGCCACCGCACCCGGCCTGTAATCCCAACACTTTGGAGGCTGAGGAGGGAGGATCCCTTGAGCCTAGGAGTTCGAGACCAGCCCGGATAACATGGGGAGACTCCATCTCTACCAAAAAAAAAAAAAAAAGAAAAAAAAATTAGGCCAGGTGCAGTGGCTCACGCCTGTAATCCTAGCACTTTGGGAGGCCGAGGCAGGCAGATCACCAGGTCAGGAGATGGAGACCATCCTGGCTAACACAGTGAAACCCCATCTCTACTAAAAATACAAAAAATTAGCTGGGTGTGGTGGCATGCGCCTGTAGTCCCAGCAACTCAGGAGGCTGAGGCAGGAGAATCACTTGAACCCAGAAGGTGGAGGTTTCAGTGAGCCAAGATTGCGCCACTGCACTCCAGCCTGGGTGACAGAGCAAAACTCCATCTCAAAAAAAAAAAAAGAAAAAAATTAGCTGGGCATAGTGGCATGTATCTGTGGTCGCAGCTACTTGGGGCAGAGGTGGGGCGTACATCAGGAGGATCTCTTAAGTCCAGGAAGTGAAGGCTGTAGTGGGTTGTGACTGTGCCACTGTGCCCCAGCCTAGGTGACAGAGCAAGACCCTGTCTCAAAAAACAAAAACAATAAACAAAAGAGGTGGTGGTGGGGAACAAAAGCACATAGCAGTCACTGGTGCATAGAAATTCTGAAATCTAGCTAGGCATATTTTGCCAGTTCTGCTCCCTACAGAT